>NC_000010.11:55294610-55446125 GCF_000001405.40 Homo sapiens | reverse complement strand
GAAAAGTGAAAAAGTTATTTAGAAACTCCCCATATAGGAATGGTTGCAAACTGGATGGCCTCAGGCATAGGCCTGACTACCAGCATTCTAGGTACTGAACAGAAGCAATGTGTGCCTTTCTGCTGTTTAATACAAATATTTCTGGTAAACCTCTTGTTTCTAGTATGTCCCCACTTACCACTCTCATCTGTGTCTGGTGTTTCTCAAGTGAAAGGCTTCTCTGATTCAGTTTTTCCAAAGAGTAACTTTATTTGAGTCTTTTCTTAAGGTACAGGAGGGGTAGTGGGATACAACTGTATGAAATGAATCAAAGGACCAAGAAGTTTGAAATGCAAAGTTGCACGTGATCCTCCTGTTTTCATCACCTACCTACATCTGATGCTTACATTTGTGAAGCTCTTGGATTTTTTTTGGTGTTTTTAACATTTATTCTTTTTAATAGAGCTTGACAGGAAGTGAGATAAATTGTGTATTTTCATTTCTTACCACATTAACTGGAATCCCAAACAACTCTTACTAGTATATAAAGCAAACCACAAAAAGAATACAATTGATTTCAGATGGTTTGTAGCATATGTATTTTTCAGTGTCTCATTGTTTTATGTAGTATGGGCTTTCAGATATAATTACTACTATTAATATTTCTTTTAAAGATGAAACTGAGGCTCAGAAAGGTTGAGTAGCTTGTCCCGTGTCTCAGAAGTCAGAATACAAACAAGGTTGAACTGAGACCTGGTTCACACTTCATTTTCTGGTAACAGAGGAGTTGAATGGTATTTTTCCCTGGTTGGGAGTTTTCATCCCTTTTATTCACTGTAATTTAGATTATTTACCATGGATGCAGAAAAAAAAAGCAGGAAAACCAAGGTGTTCAAACACCAGTCTAGGAACTTAAACAGACGTTTCTGCCTCATTAGGTGAACACTGAAGAAAGAAAAAGCAGAGAGAAAGCAGGACATTGACACTGACATGTCTATATTCACAATTTTTGTATAATTTCAAATTTAGACATCCCAATAGGCATGATTGGGACTTTAATGTTCCCTTTCTTTTTTTGGGAGTTTCATTCATATTTAATTTTCCAGTCAATCCTTTTTCCTTCACCTCCCTTCTTTCTCCGTTTAATTCTATGCATTTGAATCTATAGAATCAGTATGAAATATTAAATATATTCATCATCTTCAGCTTAGTTCCTATTTTCCCTTTTCATCTGTCACGAGATGAATATGTGTTTAAATGTCATTTAGCGTAGTTCTGAATGTTTTTCAGTGCTAGCAAATATATTTGTGGCTAATTTATGATTCAACAATTTGTCAATTTTAATCAAATTGATAGAATAGTGCTTTTAATGTTTAAGGTGGCTTCAAATGGGAAATGGAAATTATATGAGAATACTTGACAATACTTTCACTTTCGTTACTACAGCAGAGCTGGATTTAGATTTCTTCTTCCTTGCTGTTTTGGCAAGAGATTCTAATTTCTAATAAACTTTGGCAATTTCTTTGTTTTACTTTATTACCTAACCTAAAGACAATGTTTTATATCTCTATTATTTCATTTGAATTAATAATCAATTAACAATAAATGTTTTTATTTTTCTTTTACTATGATATTTGTATCATATCAGGAATGTTCACTTCCTGATTTATTTTCCAATTTCCTAAATATAGCAACTTTAAATTAACAGGCCATCCCAATTATTAGTAATTTTTAGGAGATGAGCAGCTTTTATTAATAGTGAGACATAAAGATGTACATGTGTATTTGTGTGTCTGCTTATAAAAATAGAAACTTTAAAATAAAAAAATAAAACTAGCACTCTTGTTTTCTTTTTTTTTTTTAATTACACTTTACTTTCTGGGGTACATGTGCAGAATGTGCAGGTTTGTTACATAGGTATACACGTGCCATGGTGGTTTGCTGCACCCATCCACCCATCATCTACATTAGGTATTTCTCCTAATGCTAACCCTCCCCTTACCCCCCACCCCCCGATAGGCCCCGGTGTGTGATGTTCCTCTCCCTGTGCCCATATGTTCTCATTGTTCAACTCCCACTTATGAGTGAGGACATATGGTGTTTGATATTTTGTTCCTGTGTTAGTTTGCAGAGAATGATGGTTTCCAGCTTCATGCATTTCCCTTCGAAGGACATGAACTCATTCTTTTTTATGGCTGCATAGTATTCCATGGTTTATGTGTGCCACATTTTCTTTATCCAGCCTGACATTGATGGGCATTTTGGTTGGTCCCAAGTCTTTGCTGTTGTGAATAGCACTGCAATAAACATACATGTGCATGTGTCTTTATAGTAGAATGATTTATAATCCTTTGGGTATATAACCAGTAATGGAATTGCTGGGTCAAATGGTATTTCTAGTTCTAGATCCTTGAGGAATCACCACACTGTCTTCAACGATGGTTGAACTTATTTACACTCCCACCAACAGTGTAAAATGGTTCCTATTTCTCCACATTCTCTCCAGCATCTTTTGTTCCCTGACTTTTTAATGATCACCATTCTAAATGGAGCAAGATGGTATCTTGCTGTGGTTTTGATTTGCATTTCTCTAATGACCAGTGATGATGAGCTTTTATTTCATATGGTTTTTGGCCGCAATAATGTCTTCTTTTGAGAAGTGTCTGTTCATAACCTTTGCCCACTTTTTGATGAGGCTGTTTGGTTTTTTTTCTTGTAAATTTGTTTAAGTTCCTTGTAGATTCTGGATATTAGCCCTTTGATAGATTTCAAAAATTTTCTCCCATTCTGTACGTTGCCTGTTCACACTGATGATAGTTTCTTTTGCTCTCTAGAAGCTCTTAGTTTAATTAAATCCCGTTTGTCAATTTTGGCTTTTGTTGCAAATGCTTTTCTTGCTTTAGTCATGAAGTCTTTGCTCATGCCTATGTCTTGAATGGTATTGCCTAGGTTTTCTTCTAGGGTTTTATGGTTTTAGGTCTTATGTTTAAATCTTTAATCCATCTTGAGTTAATTTTTGTATAAGGTGTAAGGAAGGGGTCCAGTTTCAGTTTTCTGCATATGGCTAGCCAGTTTTCCCAATACCATTTATGAAATAGGGAATCCTTTCCCCATTAAACTAGCACTTTTCATTTATGACTACCAAGATAACGAGTGAATTCTAAAAGTTAAATTCTCTATTTATCCTAGATTTGTACTATAATATCTATATCTTTTTCCTCTTGATCTGGAATGTTCCATTCTTCTCCTTTTTAAAATTGGGACAAAACGTGATACACAATTATCACTAAACTTGCTTTTGGTGGGCACCAAAGGAGATCTCATTGAAGTATACCTCTTTTTTAATCTGGAAAAAAATGGGTAACATAGGTAAAAGTAGAAAGAATAGAACAATGAGCATCCGTGCATTCACAATCTAGTTTATCATTAACATTTGCAGTTTTGCATCTACATAAATAAATAGATTAATATTTATTTACAGGATCTCTTTTTTTTGGCTTAATTAATTAAAAGTTTCAGAAACTTGATTCTGAGTCATAGCTACAAAGGCTATCCCCACCCATAGATAATAAAGATGATAATAATTAATTTGTCACAGATAAATTCAGTCCAGACTTCATGGTAAGTTACTGAAGCCCCAGCTTACATATATATATATATATATAATATATATATAATATATATATATATAATCAAATTAAGAAAACATCTATTTCTATTTTATTAAGTTTGTGAAAACCAGAAATAAACATTGCCTTTTTGGTAATTAAAAAAAAAAGGAACACATGACTGCATATTACTTTTCTTCTAATTCTCATCGCTGAATTAATGGATTTACTAATATTGAGGTTTGCATGCAATCCTAGAATAAGTATCCATCATCATTTCTTAAAAATCTGCCAGTATATTGTTCTTTTTAACATATTGCTTCAGATTTTTGCATTTATATTGCTCTGCAGTTCTCTTTTCTTTCCACTTTTCGCAGGGTTAGGTACCTATTAGTTTCCTGTGCTGCTAACAAATGACTACAAACTTGGTAATTTAATAGTTACTTACTAGTTCTCACAGATTTTTGGGGCCAGAATGCCAAAACTCAGCCATCAGCAGAGCCACATGCCCTTTAGTTGCTCTACAGATAATCCATTCCTTGCCTCTTCCACCTGCTGGGGGCTGTCAGCATTCCTTGACATGTGGCCGCATCTCTTTGTGTTCCATCTTCACATAGCCTTGTGCTCTCTGTGTGTGCCCAACTTCTCTCAGCCTCTTCTTATAAGAACACTTGTGATGCCATGTAAGGCACACCTGGATATTCTACAGTAATCTCTGAATCTCAAGATCCTTAACTTAATTACATCTGCAAAGGTCCTTTTTCCAAACAAGATCAATAAGATCAGAGTTAGGAGATTGTCATATATTTTTTGAGCCACCATTCACTCTATCACAGGTATCATTGTTATTTTCATTTTTCTGTGCTTCTTAAAATGTTGTTAGGATTATCTTGTTTCTGAAGATGTGGTAGGATTCCCCTTTGAAAATATATGAGACTGTGTCTTAGTGTGGGTAGGAAAGAGGTCTTAGATAAATCCCACTACTTCTTAGAAAATTGCAAATTAAGCCTGTCTCTGCTGCAGTCAGTCAGTTTTTATGAAATATATTTTCTTAGAAAAAGTGACTAATTGGTTTCCTTCCTTCCTTTCTTTTGGTCTTTCAAATTTGTTGTTTTAAATTTCCAGTGTCTGTAACAGACAATCTCTCAATTTAAAATATTTTATTTGGGAAATGAAAATTTGCAATTCAGAACAAACACAAAGGCTAGGTGGTCTTCAGTATGTCCAAAGAACAAAGACAAGTTTGGAGATTTTATAAAAAGGAGAAATGCTACTTATTGTTTTGAAAGAAAGTTAATAGGCAAGTTCTGATTGGTTACAGAGGTGGGTAAAACTAATCTTACAGTCAGAGCTGGTTGTTTCAGTAGCTATTAGATAAAACTGCTTTTAGGTAAGAACAGGCAGTTTCAGAAATTAGACTTGTAGAGAATTACATTCTTAGAGTAATGTTTTATGCCCTGATATGGTTTGGCTGTGTCCCCACCCAAATCTCATCTTGAATTGTGGATCCTGTAATTCCCATATGTTGTGTGGAGGGACCCAGTGGGAAATAATTGAATCATGGGGGGCAGTTGCCCTATACTGTTCTCATGGTAGCCAATAAGTCTCATCAGATCTAATGGTTTTATATGGGGAAACCCCTTTTGCTTGGTCCTCATTCTCTCTTGTCTGGAACCTTGTGAGATGTGCCTTTTGTCTTCCGCCATGGCTGTGAGGCTTCCCCAGCTGCTTGGTACTGTGAGTCCATTAAACCACTTTTTCTTTATAAATTACCCAGTCTCAGGTATGTCTTTATCAGCAGTGTGAAAACGGACTGATACATGCCCGGAGTGCTTTTTACTCCTGGCCTCTTGACTCTGTTACAGTTAGTTATGTAAAGAAAGACCCAATCATATGATCAATTTTTACAGTACCAATTATTTATTTCCCCTTATTAGTTTGGGTGTGTGTGTACATTTCTGACTTCTTTTCTGAATTTAGATATTTTTCAAAGAAGCAGCATATTTATTGGCCTCAGTGTTTTTCTCTATTAAAACATACCATTTTGCTTATGTCTTTCTCTCATTTTGTTTACTTTGCCACTTTTCTGAATTGTTAGTTATATATCCACTAAAAATCCACAATAACTACCTCATTAATTTGATCAGTTGGCTTTTCTATATTCTTATGCATTTCTCGTCCACATGATTTGTTTTGCACTAAGAGAAATGTGTCAAGGTTGCATATAACTAGTGCATTTCTGTTCTCCTTTTATTTATTTTAATTGTTTGACATTATGAAGAGTATTCCTCACAGCTGTGTTGTTTGGTGTCGTACTTTGTTCCATTTTATTATTTGATGTAAATTATAACTTGTCAGATATCCCTATCACCACCCTCAGTTTATTTTTTGTTCACATTTGTCTTACATGATATTGACCATTTATTTTTATCCATTCCAATTACAAGTAAAATGTGTCTTTTATATAACAGCGTCAAGTTTTCGTCTATATGCCAATAACAACACATTTTGTTTTTAATAAGTGAGCTAAGCTTATTTCCATTCATCAGTACAACGGACCTCTTGTCTCAGTTCTTCTATACACTTTGTATTATATATACACTGAATTATTTATTGTGTTTTCAGTTTCATGGCAATCTTAAATTTTAGAGTTTTATTTTACTTTTTTCTTTGGGAAATTCTGTTTCATTCTAGTGTTTGCCTCCACACTAAAACTTTTTATAGTAGCCTTATTACCTTTCCCTTATTTCAATTCTGCTATCCTGTTTGTCAGCTTTGAATTATATCTTAAACTTCCACCTATTACCTACCAAGCAATCAGTGAGTGATTTCTGTTTGTCTCCTCTCCCTTCTTTGTCCATATTTTAGTTATATGTTTCTATTTTGTCACCATATTAAGTTGGTGCAAAAGTAATTGCGGTTTTCATCATTTAAAAAAAAAAATGCCATAAACTGCAATAACTTTTGCACCAACCTGATACATATTTACTCTTATCCCTCCCCCCCAACTTTTATTTTAATCTAAAGTCTTCAGCTACATTAATTTTTTGCTCATTTTTTTTCTACTCATATTTTCTGGAATGAAGGTCATTCTCTATTAGGTTCTCTGGTAATAGTGGCTCTTGCGCACAATGTTAATTCTATTGTGGCATATTTGGAACTTTATTTCTGTAGAGTTTATACTTGAAGGTCAGATTAGGTGGATATATACTTGTCCAGTGAAAGAAATCATGGATTTCTTCTTGTTACTTCACTGCTGTCATACCCTGTGTGCTGCCATCCAGAATTCTGACTCATGTCTCATTTTCTTTCCTGTGTATGTGACTTGGTCTGTTTTACTTGGAGGTCCTTATACTTTGACTGGAAAAAATAATTTGAGAGGCTGAGGCAGGTGGATCACGAGGTCAGGAGATCGAGACCATCTTGGCTAATACAGTGAAACCCTATCTCTACTAAAAATACAAAAACAAAAATTAGCCAAGCGTGGTGGTGGGCGCCTGTAGTCCTAGTTACTCGGGAGGCAGAGGTGGGAGAATGATGTGAACCCGGGAGGCGGAGCTTGTAGTGAGCCGAGATCGTGCCACTGCACTCCAGCCTGGGTGACAGTGGGAGACTCTGTCTCAAAAAAAATAAATAAATATAATAAAATTAATAATAATAATTAGTATTATTATTTTTCCCTGGCAAGTTCTGAAACCTTGAATTACGTAGATTCAAAGTCCCTGACCCCATTTCAGGAAGGATTTCTTTAATAGAACAAAAATATTAATTTTGTTCTATTTCCAGTCTTCAATATATGTCATTTTCCTGTTTTGTGATCATTTTTAATGTGTGATTTTATTTCTATTTCTTTTCCGTTTCTCTTTCTATACTCAATATTCCTCATTCTTAATTGTTTCTATTTGTGCTCAGGCATCTCTTCTACATTTTTCCTGTATTTTATCATCTATATTTTACCTCTTTTTATTGTTGGCTTATTTGTAGAGGAAAAAACTATTGGTGGCAATTTTCTTAAGGAGTTGTGATTAATAGGATGAGAGTATAAATATATTACTTTAGCCATTATACTTCAGACTAATAAGCAGATTCTTATTTAATAAAGCTATAAAACAATGTAGATACTGAGCTGGCTGTTGTTTCTACTTTAACTTATTTCCTACTGATTGAAACTTTCATATTTAATAAATGTTATTTTCAATCCTTTATAATCCAGGGGAAAAGATATTTTATATGATATATAGAATAGTGTTAACAGCTGTAACATATGCTTAGATGGCACAGGAAAATAGTATTTAATGAGCATGTAGGTATTTTGTGTGTGTGTGTGTGTGTGTGTATAACATGTTCTTTTTTGTTTTGTTTTGTTTTTTTCTTAAATATAGTCACTTAGAAATAAGAAAGAGAGGCCAGGCGCAGGGGCTCATGCCTGTACTCCCAGCACTTTGGGAGGCTGAGGTAGGAGGATCACCTGAGGTCGGTAGTTTGAGACCAGCCTGACCAACATGGAGAAACCCCGTGTCTACTAAAAATACAAAATTAGCCGGCGTGGTGGCACATGCCTGTAATCTAGGTACCCGGGAGGCTGAGGCAGGAGAACTGCTTGAACCCGGGAGGCAGAGGTTGCGGTGAGCCGAGATCACGCCATTGCACTCCCGCCTGGGAAACAAGAGCAAAACTCCGTCTGAAAAAAAAAAAAAAAAAAAAAAGAAAAGCAATAAGAAAGACAATTTGGTCCATTTATCTTCTGTTCTTTATGGTACTTTTTAAGGATGCTTGATTCTGATGTCTTCTCCACACCCTCACTTTACACACATTTGTGTTGTTTTTCTAGATCAGCTACAGTTAGAAACCCTATGGGAGAAGGGTTAGATGGCATATTTAGTTTGATTTTTTTGGTTCTTTTACTATTTCTATTGTTTCTAGAGAGAAGAGTCATATCTTCAATGAATAGTGCTTTCTGTCTGTCTTCTAAACCTTTAGTACTTGTATAAATAGGGCCATTTTTTCTTTATTAGCCTTCTTTACAAAACCAGAAATCACCATCCAAGGTGCCTCTTTTCCAAAACTGTGAGCTTGAACCTCCACACTTTCCAAGCCCTTTCTTTTTAGCTTCCTTGTAACTATTCTTCTGAACCTCCAGAACTCAAATTCACTTTAAAATGTTTCACTTAGGTGTGGAGAATAACCTTCTGGGTGTAAGCTGTGGGTATATTTTCAGAGCTTATCCACTTTAAAGGGCCCAAACTCTTTATCTGTGCATGCCCTGCCTGATTCTCTGCTAAGGGGCTGACTCAGCAGCTCTTATTTATTTCTCCAATTAAATTGAGATCCTTTTGTCTCCTGCTTCCTCTGTAAATCTGGATAAGAGTGATGGTATTTGATTTTCCTGTTGATGTGTGTAGCTTCTAAAAGGAAGATGGAGAGATTCAAATTGTATGACCATCATTATAGTCATCGCTTTTATATTATGTGAAACCAAGACTAGGACAAAATCACATGTGGAAATCACCCACAAATATGGGAACAAAATGACTCTTCTGAGGTAAAATTGGATGTGTAAAATATCTACAGAATTCAGAAATTAAGATGTGACAGAAATCAACGAGAACATTTTTAACAGAAGATAACCCTTTATGAAGTTTTGTTGTAATGGTGGCAAAATTATTTTTTTCTGAATGATACAACGGAATTTTTCAAGCACAGTAAATGCTCCCACTTATAACCACCTATCTTCATAGTTACCAATTACAAAATATACCTAACTGAAAAGAAATTTCAGTTTTTAAATACATTGCACTTTCATTAAGTGCTTAATAAATACATTCTCTTTACGCAAATTTGCAGAGACAATTAATATCGGTAGATTTATTTTCTTGTATAAACTTATAACTCAATAGGATGGAGTCTTTGTGAACTGAACTTGAACTTCTCGATGGTAGTTAGGATCTCCTAGGATAATTTCATTCCATTTTCCTAAATAATCAGTAAGGAATTCTCTGGAAACAAACTAAAGCCCAAGAGAAAACAAAATTAAACAAAACAAAAGCCAAAAATAAACCTACATCCTATTAAACAGTATTTATACAAGATATAAATAACTTATATGTCATAATGTTTAAAATGTTTATAATACAGCATTGAAATTCCTGTTTCATTAAAACTGAAAAATTATTTAAATGTTTTAATCAAAACAATTTTGTCTCAGAATTTTAAAGGCACTGATATGTTTCTGTATGTTTATTCTTGTATTTATCTTTTCTAATTTATGTTTTAATATTTCACTAAAGCAATCTTAAGGAATTGGAAATCCAGGGCCTTCTAAATAAAGTATTTATGTTTGATTTGCAAGGCTCAGTCCTCCCTTTACAACAGTAATATCAAACTCCTTAACTAGGTTGGATATATGTTAATCACTTTAATTAATTTCCATAATTAAGAATTTTCAGCATAGGGTTAAAGAGATCAGATACTACTACTGTGAATAAAATAAACACATATATAAGTAAGTAAACAAAATTAAAAAATGACGAACTTTTATTTGTGACTATGGAATGTTATTTTAGAGTATCAACACATTGGATATAACTTGATTAATAAAAGTTGACATGGAAACTACTTTTGCCATGCACTCAACTCTTATATCATGTGGGAAAATCATTTCTCTATTACAAGTAATTAAGCAAAATTATTTTACAGAATTAAAAATTCTGTTAATGTGTCTTTATTATTGTAAATATATGTAACTTCTCTGCCAATGTACTATCTATGGCTTTTTACGACAGTTATAAATCCCAAGTTCTATAAATTTTGTTTTCATTTCTCATATTTTTTCTCTGTTTCTCCCTGTCTCATTGTAAGTTACCCTGGTTTTCCACTTTTTTTCCCATCTTTTATATTTTCCACTCTTAATTTTTAAAAATTTAATTGAGGCAATACTTTGCAGAGCAGGAGGATGGGAGTTAAACAATGAATCTCAGTTTCCCTGATCTGTGTTTTGTGGATTAGGGAAAAAAGGAAGAGGAAGTTAGATGAAATCTTGGTTATTATTACAAATGTTAACAGCAGAGTTGTTAGCTGATGGCCAGCTGCTACCAAATGTTCTCACTAATTTGTTTTTAAATTATTTAATTAACTATTTGCTAATTTTAAAAGTAACAATACATTATCAAAAATGCGAGGTAAAAATACTGTGGTATATTAAAAATAATAGTTAATATTCTCTTCTTCCCCAATTATCTTGTAATGCCACACCCTCCAGGTAACCAGTGTGGGTTGTTTGTATCAATACCTTCGTACCTTTAAGCTTATACCAAATAGGTATATATCTATGTAGTATCTATATTTATGAAAGCCTTGCACCTTATTTTTCTTTACCCCACAAAAGCATTATTCTTTACTTACTATTTTTTTCTGATTTAGTTCACTTAAATTCCTTTTGATTTCTTAAATCACACATTTCCATCTTCTTTCCCTGACTAAAACTTTGCCTCAGCCAATCTTTCCCTCATTATAATTTACCAACTGTAAGCATTTATATTCTTCAAGTACATGACTATTCATGTTTTCATAAAATAAGTAAATCTTAAAATTAGATTTTTGACTATTAGAAGTTTTGAGTTTAAATATTATAACATCAGGCTGGGTGTGGTGGCTCACGCCTGTAACCTAGCTCTCTGGGAGGCCAAGGTCGGTGGATCACAAGGTCTGGAGTTCAAGACCAGCCTGGCCAATATGGTGAAACCCTGTCTCTACTAAAAATACAAAAATTAGCCGGGTGTGGTGGTGGGCACCTGTAATCCCAGCTACTTGGGAGGCTGAGGCAGGAGAATCACTTGAACTCGGGAGGCAGAGGTTGCAGTGAGCCAAGATCATGCCACTGCACTCCAGCCTGGGCAACAGAGCAAGACTCTGTCTCAAAAAAAAAAAATTAATGTCATGACTTTGTAATTGAATAATTAAATATGCTTTTGAAACATGTTAATGAAGAGCTAGATATTTTGTGTCTGTGGATAAGTAAATCTGACATCAATATGTTAAACATCTCTATTTTAACCCATAATTTGACATTTTAATAAAAAACCATACCAATAATAATTGGGAAATTATGAAACTCATTTCAATATAAATATGGAGATATAATTAGCCAAGAACAAAAGCAATAGCGTTTGAAAAAGCGGAGAATTGGCCGGGCGTGGTGGCTCACGCCTGTAATCCCAGCACTTTGGGAGGCCAAGGAGGGCGGATCACGAGGTCAGGAGATCGAGACCAGTGAAACCCCGTCTCTACTAAAAATACAAAAAAAAATTAGCTGGGCGTGGCGGCAGGCGCCTGTAGGGAGGCTGAGGCAGGAGAATGGCGTGAACCCGGGAGGCGGAGCTTGCAGTGAGCCTAGAGGGCGCCACTGCACTCCAGCCTGGGCGACAGAGAGAGACACCATCTCAAAAAAAAAAAAAAAAAAAAAGAAAAGAAAAGAAAAAGCGGAGAATTTGTTTTCCTTATGTTATGATTTATCAAACTTCAGTAAATAATGCTTTGAATATGTTAAATATAGAAAAAGAGCATTAGAAAAGATTATGGAGCCCAGAAATAAACCACACATATATGAGGACTTCATATACAACAGATAGGGCACTACTTCTCAACAGGAGAAAAAAGGATTGATCAATAAACAGTGCAGTGACAGGGGTTGTACATATGAGCAAAATAAACAAGTATCCCTGCCTTACACCAGGCACGAAGATACATCCCAAGTGAATTGAAATCATAGAAATAATAATATAAATATTTACAAGAACGTTTAGGGAAATGCAATTATGTTATTGGGGAAGAAGAGGATATAAAAATTATAAATCATAAAAATGAATGATACATTGGATTATATTAAAATTAAAAATGTTTGTTAATCAAAAGATTACACAAAACAGAAAATGTCTCTTTTAGTTATTTATTTTTATTTTTTAACTTTTATTTTAGGTTCAGGGATATATGGGCTGGTTTGTTATATAGCTAAATTGCATGTCATCGGGATTTGGTGTTCAGATTATTTTGTCACCCAGGTAATAAGCATAGTACCCAATAGGTAGTTTTTTGATGCTCTCCCTCCTCTCATGCTCTGCCCTTAAGTGGGCCATGGTCGCTGTTGTTACTTTCTTTGTGTCCATGTGTATTCAATGTTTAGCTACCACTTACGAGTGAAAACATGCAGTCTTTGGTTATGGCCTCCAGCTCCATCCATGTTGCCTGCAAAGGACATGTTCTTCTTCTTTATTACGATTGTGTAGTATTCAATGGGGTATACATACCACCTTTTCTTTATCAAATCTACCATTAATGGGCATTTAGGTTGATTCCTTGATTTTGCTATTGTGAATAGTACTGCAATGAATATATGTATGCATGTGTCTTTATGGTAGACCAACTTATATTCATTTGGGTATATAGAGAATAATGAAATTGCTGGGTCGAATGCTACTTCTGTTTTTGTTTTGTTTTGTTTTGTTTTGTTTTGTTTTTTTGAGACGGAGTCTTGCTCTGTCACTCAGGCTGGAGTGCAGTGGCGCGATCTTGGCTCACTGCAAACTCTACCTCCAGGGTTCAGGCCATTCTCCCGCCTCAGCCTCCCAGCTACTTCTCACGCCTGTAATCCCAGCGCTTTGGGAGGCCGAGGCGGGCGGATCACGAGGTCAGGAGATCGAGAGCATCCTGGCTAACACGGTTAAACGCCATCTCTACTAAAAATAAAATATATATATATATATATATTAGCCGGGCGTTGTGGCAGGCACCTGTATTTCCAGCTACTTCTGTTTTAAGTTCTTCAAGTAATCGCCACATGGCTTTACACAATGATGAAACTAATTTACATTTCTGCCAGCAGTGTATAAGCAAAATGGTATGTTTTATATCAGATATCTAATGTACCAGAAAAAACTCTGAAATGTCTCTTCATATTATACCCAGAATCAATCTAATTTTTATCCCTACCACTTGGTCCCAAGTCACTATTGTTCTCTTACCTGGATATTTGTAATAGTCTCCAAACAGGTCTCCAACTTTTCATCCTTGCCTTCCAATAACCCATTTTCAACAGCTACCAAAGTGGTTTCTTGAAGTGTGAATTGGAAAATATCAATCCTCCACTCAGAACCCTGCAATGCCTTCCATAGCACTCAGAATAAAATCAAAATCTATTAAAACATCATTTCTATATTGTCTACCCCAATTTATCTATGACTTCATATCTCAGCCACACCAGCCTCATTTTTCAAACACAGATTGTTCTGATTTAGATCTTTGAACATTTATCTGTAATTCTGTTTTGCAAAATATCCATATGCCTTGTCCTTTACTTTCTTCCAATTCCTGCTGAAATATTAACTGATCAATGAAGTCATTGAAGGAGCATATAATTGGAGAGACTTGTGGTGTGTGTGTGTGTGTGTGTGTGTGTGTGTGTTTAAATGATAGCTCTGCCTATCCCAATTACTCTTGCTTTCTTTATTTTTTTATAGTACTTCTCACAATCTGACATAACATATGTGCATGAAAATGTTTACAGTATTATTTACTACAATCTCCCTAGAGCTTAGATAAGCGTTTGTTGGGAGCAATATATATAAGAATAACAACCTTCACACATAGAATAATGGTTACCCACAAGATAAAGAGGAGGGAAATGGAATCATAGAGATTTGTGTAAGAGGCTTTACTAATCTATATGGGCTATTTTTAATGGGGATGACATTTGGGTTTCAAATTTATGAGTATTATTGTCATTCCTTTTTGGATACATGAAATATTCCATTAAAAGTAACATAGAATTTTGGAAAACACATGAACGGCTTACTCATTTAGTGTGTTTTAGTTAGTGGGACAATGCAATAACAAGAAAATTTGTCTTAAGAGATTTGCTTGGAGTATGCACATTCCACATAGATTGCTATTTTGAAAATACTTAGATTTAACAGTTTTAGAATTTCAAATTAATTTTAATTCCAGTGATATCATATATCCAATTAGCTAAAGTTTTTAAGTTTTTGTAAGTCCTAATTACTAGCTTTATGACCTGGATTTTTTCCTTCAGAGCTCACAGATGTAATTTTTAAGAAACACAAGTAGCATAAATTAGCAACACTCTGGAAGCGAGAGATGGAGCCTTAGTCGTGACAAGATTTTATGTAGGCAGGAAACAAGCTATGCAGTTTCATTGTGATTGCAATTCCATACATTAAAACAAAAACAAATTAAAGGCAACAGTGAGAAGATTTCATTTCATTCAAGAAGATAGTGAATAATCTGGTCAACACATATTTCAACAAAAATTCATCATTTTAATTTTTGATTTACTTAAAGCTGTTGTGTATATACTTTTTTGTATTGAATCCATTTTGAATTGAAATTTAAATATTACTCAAAATCCTAGAATTCTCACCAAATTGACTCTTTGAACCTAACCCAGGTTATTCATGATTTTTTAAAAGAGGAGATAATGATTTAATACTTTACTGAATCATCTTTCTAAATCATGTCAAGGAAATAAATTCCAGCCAGTGATGCCTAATCCTGAGGTAGAAATTAGAGTTAATCTTGATGTGGAGTCTTGCATATTCAAAAGTTTGTAGTAATAACATTTTGATCTCTGTTTTCTCAACATTTCATTTTTTCTATACATAAACTGGGTAGTCGTGAATTCCTAATATAATTATTAACTAAAGCCAGTTTAGCAAGCATTTGATTTATTGGCAGGCATTGGCTTACTGTTTCAAACTAAAATGGCAGTTTTAATTAACTTTTTGACTTAGGTATGCAGAATATTAATTCTAAGTATCTTAATATTCTTTGTGTTTCTTATGCCATTTTTTATTTTATTTAGTAATCTTTTCTTCACTGGGAACACTTTATTTTCTAAAAAGAACTAAAGGAATAAAATAACTGGCCTTCGTGGGTAAAAACAGAAAATCACTTCTTCTCTGGGCCAAAAATCTTGCTTCCAGGGTGAATAAAATTAAATTATCATTAGGAACTTACTAATCTCCATGGTGAATGCACTTAGCTAAACAACAATGAGGTTCAAGCCAAAATTCTACTGAATATTACATGTCAAAATATATCAAAACATAAATGATTAAACCTTTGCTTGATTCAGAGACAATGTAAGCCAGATTCATTTGGCTATTTACCTATCCAGATATTTCTTATTTCCTTTTTCTTCCCCCATTCCTCTCACTTTCAACTATTTATTTATTTTTGAGTCAGAGTCTTGTTCCATCAGCCAGGCTGGAGTGCAGTGGCACAATCTCAGCTAACTGCAGCCTCAACCTCCAGGGCTCAAGTCATCCTCCCACATGTGCCTCCTGAGTAGCTAGGACTATAGGTACGTGCCACCATGCCTGGCTAACTTTCTTTATTTTTTGTAGAGATAAGGTATCACTATGTTGCCCAGGCTTTTCTATCTACTTATTTATGTATTTATGTACTAACCTATATTACATACCTATAACAAATTCTTGGTGAATCTTGATTTCATTTAAAAGTATGCCAAGAAATTAAATGTTATAGTTAAATAAAAAATAAACGATTACAAATTATTCATCATAGAAAAGGTTGATTTGGGGAATTAAAACTATATATTATTAAGGAGCACAAAGCTAAAGATTAAATGTAAACAGAAAACTTACACTGTTGTGTAAATGTAAAATAATTTATTATAAATGATTACTTATTAAAAATAATTACATGATATTCCTGCACCTAAAAGTGTTAACAGTCCAAGTTCCTAATGTTTCATATTAAACTGTAGCTAGACTAGATTGTTACTGATTAACACATAAATATCATAAGTAAAATGCTTCTAAGATTTGAGGAGGCAGAGAATGTTTGTTTCTTCTGATCAGTAAAAGGCAAATTCCCTTCAAAGCAAGTGAGTGTCCTATTTAGCCATATTGCAGTACATCAAAAATTATAAACATAACTTCTGTTCATGATATGAAAATAATTTAATTCCTCAAAACCAGTGTAAAGATAAAAATCTTATAAGCATCAGCAGAACAAAAAAGACACATTTTGTAGAGATATATAACATAAGCATGACAGCAGAGTTCTCATCAGAAACAGTGAAAGAGGAAAAAAGCAGACCAATGGCTTTAAAGTATCAAAAGGGAGGTAAAGCCTAAACCTGTATTACTAGTGTCCTATCATTAGCAAAAATATCTTTCAAAAACAAAGTGGAACAATGACGTTTTAGACCTATAAATATGAAATAGTTAATAACCAGCAAATCCATCTTATAAGAAGTGCTTAAAATTTCCTTTGTGCAAAACAAGTTAGCAGATAGTAATATAAATCTATTCAAAGGAAAAAAAATACCACTAGAAATGGTTACTACATGGGTAAATATGTCAGATTTTTCACATTATAAAAATGCCTTTAAAGGATAATTGCCTGTTTGTAACAGTAATAACAATATAACATGGGGTTTGTAGAATGTGTGGAAGTCAAATATGTGATGATAATTGCACAAAGCCTGGAGAGGAGAAAATAAAGAATGCTACGGTAAGTTCTCACATTCATTGTAAAGTGGTAGAATGTCACATTAATTTAAACTGAGGTAGGTAATAATGTACACTCTAGATCAATAAATTATCATAAAATGGAAAAATAATGGGAAAAACGGATATTAATGAAAAAATAAGCCAATAAAGGAAATAAAATATAATACAAAAAATGTAATTCATGAGAGTGCACAAAATGTATAAAACAATAACAAAAATATTTTAATAGGAAACAAATAACAATACAGACTTAAACCTATTAATAATCATGCTAAATTTAAATGACCTAGTTATACCAATTAAAAGACAAAATTTATCAGATTGAATAAAAAAGTAAGCCCTAAAATATGTTATCAAAAAACTGCTTTAAAGATGAACACATAGCGCTGTCTCTCTGAGATAGATAGATAGATAGATAGATAATTATAGATATAGAGAAAGAATTTATATATACATATGTATGTATCTATAATGCAGTATATATTGCATTAACACAAATAAAAAGAAAGCTGTAGTCAATTTAAGAGCAAAAATACAGGTAGAGTAGATTTCAGAACCAATTCTGTTACAAAAATGAAGATCATTTCATAATGATAGAGAACTCAATTCATCTAGTACAATAAGTGTCCTGAATTTTTTATCCATACTGACAGAGATGCAAAATGATAACTGATAGATATTACAGAAGAAATAGATAAATACACAATTATATTCTTAAATTTCAATGATAATTTCACAGTAATTGATGGGATAGGTAGATGACAAATTATTAAGGATAAAGAATGCTTTAACAACACATTAATATATTTGACCTAATTGATTAGGTCAAACACTAATTGATTAGGTCAAACACTTCATTCTACAGGACTCAAAGACACATTATCTCTGAATGTTTGTAGAAATAAGCTAAAATAGACCACATTTTAAGACATAAATCAAGTATCAAAAAACGTAAAATAATTGAAGTCATATGAAGTATGTAGTCTCTCTGTTCAAAATTAGATATTTTTCCCATAGAAATTATGGATGCTGGCCCAAATAACTCGTTTTTCTTTAAATAGATCATAACCTTATACATTTTTCCCCAAAATTGTATTCTTTAAAATGCTATTTGGAGATACTAGAAGATCCTAGTTGAGAGTTAAATCAATAAAACTGTGAAATGGATATTTAAATATGATATTTAATAATTTACTTTTTATTAATTTAGAATAGACAGCCAGTACAGATTATACATGAATTTGGACAGAATAAGATTATAGAGGTATAAATCTAAAGTATTAAAATGGCAAACTAAACATTTAGCAATGGATTTTTTAAATCAAGTATATGAACCCATTTGTAAACACATTTTCCACCACTCCAAGATGCATTCGATCATGTGCAAACTAGTACACAAAAATATTTCCCTTTTCTTAACCTGAGTTGAACTTTGTAGGTATTTTATATGCTGCTCTTCGTTAGTGTCATTTTGTCTGCATTCAGTGTTCAAGTTTCTTCAACTAGGCTATTAGCCCTTGAATGGAGGGAATCCTCATGCCTGAAATTCTTTTGTGTTTTTCAGAGTCCAATACTATATCTTAATGTAATAGATATATCATGCAAACTAAGTACTCAATACATTTAGTATTTTAGCACTTGACACCCTTATAACATTGTGTTCTTTGTATCCAACATGTTCACATTAGTATGGTAGTGTTGCAGGTACCTTAGGTTACTTTGGTTGAGAGTCTTATAAACTATTTAAAAATGCATATTGTAATATTAGGGGAAAAGCATGGTCCAGATTTTACACATCTACGGATTATAACTTTAAATAAGCTGAGCTTGATTGTAGTGATAGGGACAGGAGGCAGGGAGATTCTGGGAAGATGAGGGCAGGTCTCTGGCGAGGGCCCACCCTCAATCCGAAAAATATGAAGCTGTGGCCCAAAGTGAGAACTTACATCCCTGTTTTCCTGTTTGAATGTTCCCTTTTCCAAAAAAAAAATCCATGGCCTGATGTACCCACCATCCTGTGCCCATAAAAACCCCAAGCTCAGCCATCATAGAGAAGAGAAGCAGGTGGGTGTAGGAGACTGTGGTTGGATGACATTGGAGAGAAGTGGCTTGACTTCAGAGGGAGAGCTTGATGGCATAACTTCGGAGAAGAAATTGGCCAGAGGTGGCCGGACTTCAGGGGAAGATTAGCTTCCCACACTATCTCCTTTTCAGGTCCCTTTCCATTGGCAAGAAAATCATCCGCATTTACCATCCTTCAATTCATTCATGAGACCTCATTTCTCCTAGGACATTGGACAAGAGCTTGGATACCACCAAGCGAAAGACTGTCATACTGACCCTTTGCCCTCGCTGTTGGAAGGCAGCCACCTCACATGAAAAGGCAGAGGGTCCACTGAGTTGTTAACCCTTCCACCATCCATGGACGGCCGAGCTAAAGAGCACTGTAACACTCCCTCTGGGGCTACCGGGTTTGCGGGCACCCCCACAGATGCTGCTGCAGGGCTGGCACATAGTTAACTCCTGCCAGCACCCAAAGATTCTGCCTGCTCCTGTACCTGCTCACCTGAGTGACCCCTTCCATGAGGGGTGGATGCAGGGGGTCCAACTGAGTGCAGTTCACCCCTGCCGGCACCAGAGCAGCCAGATGGCTCAAACGCTGGTGTACTCCTGTTCACGCCTCACTGGCTCAGGCACTCCCTCCTGCGAGGAGTTGAGAGCTGTGGGCTGAGTAAACCCGGCACTACCTTCACGAGTCCCACCAAGAGGTCAGGGGAATATCCTGCTTCGTTAAGTCCTGAAACTAAGTATAAACATGTACTTCAAAAATTTTTACATAATGCATTTAATTATAGCTTTTGAAGTAGTTCTTATTCCCCTTCATGTCACGATTACCTACTTTAAAAACTTTACCATAGTGTTATACTTCTTGAAAAAGTGAATTGTTCTTACCATGTGTAGGTTTATTAGAATTTTTCCAAGTCATTTTAAAACAAATAAGTATTTTGCTATGACTATACCATTTTATTTATTTCACATATATGCACATATAATTAATCTTTCAGTTAGTAAGAGCAAATATAGAAACGTTTTACAATTTGAAATTTTAATTTAAGAAAATACACTCATTTTGTGTCATAAGTTTGACATTTGTCATAACAAAATACACTCATTTGTGTCATAAATTTGACATTTCACAGCATATATTAATAGCTTATAAGACAAACATTCAATCAGATCCTTTGAAAAAGTTTTAGAATAAAAGCCACTGCTGATTCAGATATCAGAAGTTTTAATGAGTAACACTGTTTTTTTTTGTGTGTGTGTGTGTGAAAAGCTAGTAGCGGGTAACTCTTCTCAGACCCACAAGATTTTTTTTAAAACTGAGATAAAGATATTTTACATTAGATTAGCAATAAAATGAAAGAAATACACTTGAGAATTTGTGGAAAATTGTTATATGATTTCTCTAAGGTATGAATACAATATTTTTACATAAATAGTATGTTTTCTGAATATAGCTATTTATATGTGCTATTAATTTTAGAAAGTCTCTAATTATGATAATACATCAACACTTTTGCATTTTTTTCTAGCATCATTATTGCTACATAAAATTTTTGAGCTATTGTAGTTCTTTGTTAGTTTTTTCCATGACTTTTAATTTGGAGAAATTTTCCTATTCTGCAGCATTAGCAAAAGAGATTGTCAATAAAATTTTACAAACAATACTTAGACTGAAAATGAAATATGTATAAAATGATAATGGAGTCACATAATAAATTATAATTAAGTATTATTAAATAGTTTAGTTCTATTATATAATTTAAGAGCATATATAGTGATTACTCTTTGTCTTAAAACAAAATTTAAGTCATTTCAGAATTTCTTAATTTCTAATTTTTTCTACATGGAGATATGAGCTTTTAAAAAGCATCATTTGTTCAATTTAATAATATCCCCTTAATACTTTCTATAATTTGATCTGTTTCTTAAAAGTATTTGCAATTATACAATTCATTTTCCATCTAGTTGCAAACCATTTCATATCTGTAAACGTATAAATAATTATATTTTTTAATATCACACTTTTTTTTAATTGCCACATCAACTGTTGCAATACGATGCCAATTAATGGCTATCTTTGAAAACGTAATTGGAATACAAGCAGAGGCCTAGAAATTGATGTTTGGCACTTCTGGAAAACTATTCCCTCAGAGTGAGAGTTTGGCAAATTAATTAATTTGCCTTTTTTCTTATATAAGCATTTTTTCTCATATAAGATTTTCCAGCTCTTTCCTATACACCAAAGCAGTTCCCAACATAAATACTAGTACAACCCACAGGCATTCATAGAATTGGGCTGAGGTTGTCTTATGTTTTGAAGACATGTAGCAAATGAGAAAAGGCAGCATTTGTCTGTAGCCTGGAAAGTGTTCATTAGCAGGGTAGATGCCTACAATTAGATGAGGCATTGTTACCTAATTGCGAGCCAGAAAAGATGCCCTGGGGCTATTTAGTTAATTAATATTTGCAATATGTGAGACCTTTCATAGTGTAAGACCAGGACAGAAGCAGCCTTTCTCAGGTCTAAGGGCACTACTAGCCATTTGCCAACATCCAACTTTTAATTTTGATTGTGTAAGAAAGATAAGCCAAGTAGGGTCTCATGATACCCCCTGACATCACCAGGGCACACACTACAATGCCTCAAATCCAGCACAAAGAATAATTAGTTCTATCCCAACCACACCAATAGCAATTATGGGATGTAGATCCCAAAATAATTGTGTGTATCTTGAAACGGGACATTCATTTGCCACTTTTAGAGTTCCTTTTTGGAGAAGGAATAACTATCATCTTCTCATACATTTTCTTGTGGAGTTTGACATCTTGTCATACATAACATCTTTCACTTAGCCTCATGCAAAAATAGATCTGGACAAAATAGTTTGAGATATTAGACCTTCTGCTTGTGTGTGTCTTCCTCAATTTCTGGTAGTCAACACATCAGAATTATTACTGTGGATTCTAAAGCCCTTTTAAAACTGAAAACAAAGTGTAAACTGATGCTGCTTATACCCTCTTAAAGCTTTTCCTTTTATATTTAAAAACTTACATTTTAAAAATGAAGATAATTTTGTCCTTATGACATGTAAGCATTTAAGTTATTGGAATATAAAAACATGAGGTTTGATAAGTATCTTGCTTAATTAAAATCTTATTATCTGTCCTGCTATGTCTGCCCCTGCTGCACATCAAGGTATGTTGCGTATTTAGATTTTTCACAGATCAGAAAATTTCCATCCTCTGTAGTCTAGTAGGTGGTAAGGCTTCCAGCCTTGAATGGGCCTTCCATCAACAAGCTCCTATATAGAAAGCAGTTAGTATTCCTTGCTCTAAACAGAGGAGTTTCCCCCCTTTTACCTTATAGTGAGCTAATTAGCTCTGGAAATAGTGTGCTTTCTTAGTGTGACTATAGGCATATATGTGCACATGTATGTTTTTTTGGTTTTCCTCAACCATTTGTTTCATTCTAGCCCTGCAAAATTTATATGTATATAGTACATATAGGCATCTTAGATGTTGACATGTTAGCTTATCGTTTTATTAATGTGTCAAAATTTTAGTTCTCTCTGTATGCATACAACTATATCTGATACCCTACAGTGCATCCTACTTCGAGGAATTCTGTTGCCTTTTCTTTATTCATCCTTCCCTTTACATTTTAAACAAGTAAATCATTTAAAGTGTGTTAATTTTATCTATTGTTCACCCTTAGCCCCCAGAGAAGCATAACAAATAAAGCAAAACTTTTTTAATCATTAAATAATTTACAGATTTATGATAATTTTTACTGTGACCCTTTAGGAAACAATGTATCTTCTTTTAGGGATCACATTTATGAGTAAGTCCAGGTTGCTGCTGGGTATAAATAAGATACATGATAACTTCTATAGTCCTTATTTTTAGTAATTTATGTACATTGTACTCTAAATTATACTGGACATACTTTATGTGGAGTAAGGGGTCTCTTGACAAGTGTATCAGCAATATGTTATTATTTTCCCTTTGTTGATTTATAGTGATAGGCAAAATTATGAACTATGTGACATTAGTTTTATTTCCTTTGGCATTCTTTCTTATCTATAAAATAAACTTATTAATGTCTACCTTTTATAGGTATTGGAACACATTATATGCTGAATTCAATTCTCTGTCTTCCTCATTCCTTATTGCCTTCTTCTTCCCATGCCGAGCACAACATACCATTGGATTATTTTAATATACTCTGCCTTCTTGTTCCTAACAAAACCTGAACTCAATAAGCTGCTATGTTGGAAAAGATCTTTCGATTTCTTTCACAGTCTAAACTGCTAATAACAACTTAAAATAGAGTGTTATTTTTAATTCTAAATTAGTTATGAGACATGTTCTGCAGGTTAGAGGAAGGTCATTACATTTAACCTACAATTTATATCCCAGAGGAGACTACTTGCCTACTTTGTCATCCTTGGCTAAAATGTTCCATATGACATACCATATAGGTAAAACCATGCTTTTGTTGATCAATGAATGGTTTAACATTATTGGAATGTATAGGAATCATATTTGATGGTTTCTCATGCACAACTCAAAATATGGTGCCTTTTCCTCTTCATTTTATAAGGATTCTATATAGTTCTGTTTTGTTAAATTTTCTGCTGACTATTCTTTAAGGTATCTTTGAATAATTTCAGTTAGAAGGCATTTCTTATCAAATGAATATCTACTTTATAGGCTATAATCTGAAAACGTCCAGAAAATAGGCAAATCTGTAGAAACAGTTTTTAGATTGGTGGTTGTTATGGGCTGTGGGTAGCGGTGAATAGAGAGTGACTGTTAATGTGTATGGAGTTGTTTTTGGAGTAATGCATATTGTCTAAAAGTTGACAATGCTGAAGGTTGGGCTAAATATACTCAAAGCCACTTAATTACATACTTTAAAAGGAAATTTTATGAAAAATGAATCATATCTCGATAAAGGCATTATAAAATCTGCTATAAATATGCTAATTGACTGGGCTAATAGAAATACCATTTTTATCTTGTTGTCAACTGTGCATATAGGAAGAAAATCTACAAAATAGATAAATCCCAAGTAATAATTTTGTGTGATAATAAAAACAATAAAATATTCTGAAGTGAAATGTTTAGAATATTTGTCAGAAAATATGATTCACAACAAAAGAACCACATAAGCAGGTTATCTACCAAATCATCTCTAGTAAATATCAAACAGATGCTTCTTTTTAAACTTCTTAGAATGATGAAAGTATTAATTAATTTGGAATATGTTAATAAAATGATGTTCATTAACATATCAGTTTCTCTAGCAGTGAGTCACAGAAGATCATTTTAGTCTCCTGATAAAATTCCATATTTAATATTTGAATTCCAGATATGTTATTAGTAGAAGATAGATTCAAATCTAGTATGCTATATGAAATGATTTTCTCTTTTAGCTATGATGTAAATTTATCATATTATGAAAATCATATGTAATATATATAAATTTATATACAAATATATATGAATAAATATATTAAAATTTACGCAAATAATTTTAACAATTTTTCTACTTTTGTTAAAAATAAAATATTATTTATAAATATTTCAGGTTATCTCATTTAAAAAATTTATTAGATATCCAATTTTAAATTGATTTAATTTTTTTAATTCTTAATGTAAATCTTATGGTCTTATCTTCTTGCCTCGACTTATCTGAGTTTTATCTTAAAAGGTTCTGTGAGTAATCATCTTGCCTTTAAAACATCCTACTGAATGCTTTCTGACTTCTTTTTGGCAGCATCTTATATATTTTGACTTCATATGTTTAGATCAGTTGGGTTTAGACCCCCTTCCTCTTTGCAACTATCTTAGGCCAGTCTTAGAATTTCCTTCATTCTGTAATTCATTTTTAGCTCAAAAACTTTGTCTATTTACCATAAATAGTTTCTAGCCTATTATATTTTTACACAAACAGTCTTTTGTCCTGTTTGTTAATTTTAAGTAATTTTAAAGCAGATAATCATTTAATTTATCTTCTTGATGCTTTTTCTTCTGGGCTTTCATTTTTCTACGTGGTAAGTTCCTTGGTTATTATTCCTAGGAATTAGCCCCATGCTTGACATATAGTAAATACTGATTTGTAGTTGATCATTAGGTCGAATTTGGTGTAATATTTTTCACATGGGCCTCTTCTCTTAAGCCATTGTTACATTTGATACATTTTATTGAATAAAAGTTAAGACAAAAGATAACATGTAAAATATAGGTAAAATATAATTAATTTTTATGTTAATCGGTGGACCTTTGGGTTATATTTCCTGTTCCCCATGCTCCAGTCTAAGACAGCTAAAAACAAAATAAGACAAAGCAAAATAGCAAAGTGATTCCTTGGGATTTCTCTGCGTGTCATCCCCCTCCTAAATGCAGACAAGGCAACTATATGTCAGGTACTACTCTGAAGATGAAGGGAAAAAAAATGCAATACCTACTGATCCTGTCAACATAACCCTAAATTCAGCTTACTGAGAGTTCTCATTCTTGCCAACCTCCTAGGGAAGGGGTCTGCAAACTCTTCTGTAAAATGTCAGAGAGTAAGTACATTAAGCTTTGCAGGCCATATGAGCTTTACCATATGAGCTTTACCAGCTACTCAATTCCAACGCTTATAGTATCGAAGCAACTATAGATAATATGTAACAAATGGAAATGTCTGCTCTCCAGTAAAACTTTATTGACACACAAATTTTAATTTCATTTAATTGTCACATGTAATTAAATATTCTTTTGAAGGAAATGAAAATGCATACGCTAACGTTTTTGTCTTATGAGGAGTATAAGCAATATGTGGGATGGATGCAAGCCCAGTTTAGATCAGTCAACCCTCATCTACCCAGCGGATTTTCGAGTTAAATAAATGTTTAACAATATTACTAAATGTTTGCTGAACTTATTAAATGCAAATTAATTTTCGCTAATGAGCCATGCAAAAACTGGAGGGGGCCAGATTTGTTTTGACCTCCGTTTTAAGATTGAAGCATGTTTCATCTCCTAATTTGTCTTTTACTATCTGTTCATATTTTTTTGCACTTTTCCCCCAATAAAATGCACTATAGTATACATTTTAATCTTTGCAGACCAATGTGATCATGTTGCCAAGTAGTCAACTCCAACACTTGTAGCCCTAAAGCAACTATAGATAATATGAAAGAAATGGGTATGTGCTATAGTAGTGTGTACAGATAGTTCTAGAAAAAAATCTAAAGAAAAAATCATTTCTGTTGGCACCAGAGTTTCAAAAGTCTCATTTTAAATGAACGTGACTTTGGGTCTTTAAACCACTATTGTGAGAATATCTTCACTCCTTTTTCCTGTCTTACAGCCATGGATAACTGCTACTATCTGATTAGTGCAATTCTTTCTCCATTGAGTCAGTAACTATTAACATTGACTTGTGGAAAGAAATACAAACAATCTCTCCTCAGATGTTTCTCTTTCACTGCTGTTACAGTTCACATCACCTAGTATTGCTGTTTAATAGATGGTTTCATGGGATACCTTATTGTGTGGAGTTTTGTAATGCTGGAAGATCTATGGACACCTGCTTACTTACTGTCATCAAAATCCGTGCAATCTACAACTAAGCATGGTATTATCCCACATAGAAAATTTATTTGTTGTCCTAGGAGCAAATTTCATTATTGGTCCTTCAACAGTTTCTACTTCAGCTCCGTCAAACTGGCCTCCCTCCCCATTTCGCTTTCTACCTTAGCCATCTCACATTTGTTCACATGCCTTACAGCTGTATTGTCTGCCATCTCATTATCATAGGAAGTTTATTATGCTGGGCTTCAATTTACAAACCCACTTAGAGATATATGAGGTTTCTGCATAAACTTTTCTGTGTTTAAAAAATTGCTATTTTGTCACACTTTTAATTCAACCTTATAAAACAAATATAATACGTAGATATTATAATGTTTTCAAAAGTAGGAATATATAAAAAGAATTCATGAGGAAAACAGCATTCTCCAACTCTTCCTCATCTACAGGGCTAAACTTTATAATAACTTCTGCTTTAATTATTTTAAGGTTTGCCTCCAACATTTCAAAAATACTTATTTAATTTATCAACAATAAGAGAACTTGTCAAATCTCTCCCATGAAAGATAAAAGTCTGATTTTATTATGACTTTCATTTCTTTTTTCTTCTAATATTAAATTCTTATATTGTCATATTTACCTCTTCTTTTGATTATTTCATAACCTTAAATATGAAGTTACAAAATGTCATCCAGAGTTAGAGGCCCATCTTGCCTGTGAGTTCTGTGTGGTCTCCATCATGTGCTAAAAAACAGTTAAATATCTGGTGGGCGGCTGCTTGCAATAGCACCAGTCCAGCATACATTTTCTTACACTCGCTGTTTTCTTTTACTAACTGATATGCCTTAGGCACTGGTGTTTGCAGTTCCTATTTTAGAGTATAATTTTGTCCCTATTTTCCACGTTTTAGACATTATTTTGATCCCACTACGCACATAAGGCAGTATTCCAATTATATGCCATAGAGAATGAGAGTATCAGTGCCCTGACTTTCCTCTCCAACTCCAATTTCCCACAATCAGCAGCACTTTTATTTTCAGAAAAGCTTCATATTTCTAATGTTGTTAACAGTTACATTCTGCACTAAAAATAAAAACAAGACATTCTTTGTTCATAGGTTGGCTATAAATGTTGAAGAGTAGTAAAAAAGTCACTTTCATTATTATGACTATTATTATGATGTTATACCCTTTATTTATTTCTTGACCATGTACTGTTCTATGATTACATTTCCTTTTGTTATGATTTAGATGCTTTGAGTCCAAAGCACTTCAAAGGTAGAATTTTCCTACCTTCAATCCCAAAGAATTATCTTTTCCTACTGGACATTTTTTGCTTAAAAGTTGTTTCTCATTTTAGTTTTCTTTATATATGCACAATGATTAGGTGAATTTTTATTTTTTTTCTTGAGATACTAATTGCATTTTTTTCTGGTTAAGCATAAAATTATTTCTTGTTAAAAACAATAAGATGCATTTAAACATGAAGTACAACTCTAATCCTAAATCTTCTCTTCTTGTTGTGTTCTGGGTGGGTTCTGTTTCCAAAATCCAATCTCACTTGTTTTTTTTTTCCCTTCATTTTGCTGGAATATATCCTCAAGTAAGACTTTAAAAATGGATCCCAGCAAATAAATTTTCTGAGTCCTTGTCTGTTTGAAAATGTATTTATTCTACCCTATATTTTGATATTTCTCTGGCTAAAGAATCCTAGCTTTATGAATAATTTTTATTCCTAAAAACTTTAAGAGCATTTCGTCTTCTATCCCCTACTATGGCTGCTAAAATAAAAGATTTTTTCTTTTATTATGCATTATTTTGTTTTGCCATTTTGTATTATAGAATACACATGAGCAAATACCTCTGTAAAAGGGGAGATAGCAATTATTTGTGCTTTATATTTTACATATTACTTTTCCTTTTTTATAATTTAGATGCTTTTGAGTCCTAAGCACTTCAAAGGTAAAATTTTCCTACCTTCAGTCCCAAAGAATTCTTTCTTCCTTTTGGTTATTCTTTGCTTATAATGTCTTTCTCATTTTAGTTTTATTTATAGCTGCACTATGATTTGGTGAATTTTTATTTTGGGGGCCACAAGATCTCAATCTCTGCTGCTGTAGTTTCAGTGCTAACACAGCGATGGATAATATGTGAAAATTAAAGAGTGGCTATGTGCCAATAAAGCTATTTATGGAGAATGAATTTGAATATGATACAATTTCCAAATGTCACAAATACAGTTTTTTAAATTTTTTTAAACAATTAAAAAATATTCCTAGCTCATTGGCCATACAAAAGCTCAGCATGAGTGCTAGGCTTGACACATACAAAGTCTTTTACTGACACCCTTTTGCTTTTCATATGTCTTTATAGTCCCTGTTAGAAAATTTCACAATGCTGTGTCAACATGTTTCTCCACTGAGCCTCTTTTTATTTATCCAAGAGGGCATTATTAAACTCACAAATTAAGATCTCAGAAAATATAGGAATTTTGTTTGTTCTGTAGTGACATCACGTGACAGACACTAGCTTAGATGTCTATATATGAAATTGTATATCAGAAACTCAAGTAAACTTTTGATTGCTTTCAGCCTCACCTGTCCCTTTAATTCTCTGTGGCCAGGGTTAACTTTAACCCAGCAGCAAAGCCCTCAGAAAAGATCTTGAGTCCCACCTCTACGAGGCCCTCCTGTTAAACTCTGAATTTAGCTTTTCCTGCCAACTTTATCCTTCAAATTGCTCCATATGCTTTTCTTTTTCCTCAAGTTTGATGATTCCCCTGATACCCACCCCTTAGCCCTGAACCCCATTTTCTTCTCTTCACTGTTGTCAATTTATTCATTTTTGTGCTATCATAATTTTATTTTAGGAGGATCCTAGAAGTGATAGATGACATATGTAATTACATAGTCATCCTGAATAAAAATGAAAACACTTTCATTTACATTAGATTCTCTTCCATGAGAATATGATGGATAGCAAGGCTTACTTACAATGGTTATCATTGCTTATTCATCTGAATTGAGGCTAACTATAATAGCTTAAGTTCCGATAACCAGGAGAATGTAGGTATTTTCTTGTTGTTCTGTTTTGTTGGGGTTGTGGAGGATGTTACTAAGGGAAAGAACAAGGATAGAAAATATTGCATAAAACCTATTAATTTTAGTATTTATAATGAAAAACTAGTGAAATTACTTTTTTAGTGTTACTTTTTTGTATATTATATATGTCTTTCTTTGGGAGTCAAGATGTCAAGTTTTTTGTTTGTTTGTTTGTTTGTTTGTTTGCTTGTTTGTTTGTTTTTTTGCCTTAAAAGCTTTTAACAGTGTGGGTTTTCCCAACTGTGAAATGTTGAGCCTGTTTTTGAAACTTGAAATTTGCTATCGACAAAAGCAAATTTGAGAAAAAAAAATATGGCTCTTTATAGATATTGCTAAGACAAACTTTTCATGGAACAACCTCAAAATGTCCTAATAACATTTTTCAGTCAACTCATTAAATTAGCAGATTATTTATGAATGGGTACCTCAGTCTTCCCATTGAGATGTTAAGCCAAAATCCCAAACACAAGTCATTTCTATTTCCTTTAGTCAAGGTAAATATGTACTTTTGAGAGTACATATGAAAACAAGATAATCATGGCCAACTTCCAGCTCCAACATTATGCTTCATGAGGACATTGATTTTATTTCATCCTGGTATCCAAACCCTTAATATGATCTAACTTGAAAATTAGTGATTTACTATAGCTAGTTAATAGATACAATTGGTGACCCTTGTTTAGCATACTTAGAAAAGTGGAAATTTGAGAAATGAGATTATCATAATCAGAAATGGAGAAAGGTGTCCAATTGTAAAACGTCCTTTTATCTCCTCTAGTTTTAAATCTCAGTATTTGGAATGTCAAATACTTTTTCCAATGGATCCTAAAATAGACTATATTGGGCAATTTTCTGTTTATTATATGACCAAGGAAAAAATTAAAAAGGATTATTTTAGCAGTGCTCTGATAGTTTATAAGGCAGTAGACAGTCTGTAGGATTTCTACTCTGAAATATAAAGAACATATTGCAACAAGAAGAGATTCATCTCTGGAATACAAGGTTTATGTAACATACACAAATAAATTAATGTAATACACCACATTAACAGAATGAAAAAACTACATAATCATTTCAATAAGGGCCAAAGAGCATTTGATAAAGTTTCACATCATTTCATAATAAAGTCTCTTGTTAAATTAGGCACAAAAGGAAACTCCCTCACCTTAATAAAGGCCATTTATAAACATCTTACAACTAACATAATCAATGGGAAAGCATTTCCTCTAAGATCCAAAACAAAAAACAAGCATGCCCATTTTTGTCACTTCTACTGAACATAGTGCTAGATACTAGCAAGAACAATTAGACAATAAAAATAAATAGAAGGCAACTAAATCAGAAAGGAAGAAGTAAAACTATCCTTATTTGCAGATAACATAATCTTATATGTAGAAAACCCTAAAGACTCTATACACAACACACACACACAGACACACACACACACACACACACACACACACACACCCCTTGTTAGAAATAATATATGAATTCAGTAAAGTTACAGGACACAAAATTAACATATAAAAATCAGGTGCATTTCTTTACACCAATAATTATCTATCTAAAATGAAATCAGTAAAACAATCTCATAATAGCATCAAAAAGAATAAAATATTTATTAATACATTTAACAAAGGGAATGAAACATTTGTACACTGAAAACTGTAAAGCATTGAGAATTAAATTGAAGAATACATAAATAAGTAAAAACGTATTCTGTGTTCATGGAAGAATTAATACTACTATAATGTCTATGCTTACCCAATGTGATATCCAAATTCAAAATAATATTCAAATTTAATGCAATTCCTTTCAAAATTTCAGTGGCACTAGAAATAGAACTGATGGGTGAAATGAATCGTGGATTTTTTATTTTGAACATTAAGAACTACTCTTCATCGGGTTGTACTACTACTACTTAGCAGTAATGTATGAGTATACCAACCTACACACCTAATACTATAGTGGTATTTGGTTCTTCGTCATTCTGAGTTGGCTTTTTAAATTTAACCTATTTTCTATCCTCTTAATGACAAAGCATACTTAAATACAAAGGCACACTTTTAATGAGGCAAGATAACATTGTTAAGAAAAAAATTTTATGATTTTAAAATTAAATACTGTGAAGCCATTGTTCATTATTTAGGATTTTAAAAAACTTTTTCCTATTTTAAAATATATTATTAGGGATAAAAATATGCTGAAATACATTTTTTCTAATAAACTGTTATAATATTATCTTACTCTTATATCTGTGCAATATTTCCTATTACATGTCTTGAACAAATGCACACACAAAGACATGGTTATTTTTGACTGCATATATATATGAGCTAATGAGCTAACTTCAAAGTGGGATAGAAACTTGACCACTCTTCATTCAATATGTGATTTTTATTTTATTCAGTTTTCTCTAACCTAAAAAAAATATTTCCGAGCTAACTTGTATTCAGAAATTGAAGAGATTTCTGAGATTAAAAAGTGTGTTAAGATGCAATCCAACACTTGCTTATAAAGACACATTTTAACCTGAAAAATGCTTTGTATATCATTTAATATCCAAAATTTACTATAGCATTTTTGTGAGAAACAAAAGGAAATACTGTAAAATGTATCGTTTATTTGAATAACTGAGTCTCTTTTGTTTAAAGTTGAAAAAAATACATAGATAGATATATAAATCCAAATATATAGAATTTTTACTAGTATAAGTCCCCTTCTATTTTAGAGCAGACTTCGTCTATTCCCTTTAAATGTAAAAGTTGTCTATCATAGACCTTTTAGAAAAGTCTACACTTGGAACATAGAAGCATCCTAATAAAATTCACTTATATAGTCCTTTAAAATATGCTAAACATTTTATTTAAAATATTTAAAATATGCTAAATATTTTATTTCTACAGCATAAAGTCCATGAAAAGAGGAATCTTTATCCCTTTTTTTTTATTGCCAGGATTTGAAAATGTGGAACAAACAATAAGTGCTCAACAAATATGTGAATAAATGAATAAATGTAAATTAATTTTAATTCCTATCAGATTTATAATAATTGGTAGAAGGCATTTATATTCTTAATAAATATTTTTAATCTTCTGCTGGGTAAGAATTATATAAATAGTGGTATTAACATATACCCTATATGTGTTTTACAAACTAAACTAGTTTTTCATAAGATTTAGTTTATTCATTAATGATGCATATGTTAGATGACGGTCATCATTTATAATAATGTATGAATCTCCTGCAGCTTCAGGGTAACTAGTGGTTTTGTTTATTCTTTCAATTATACAGACACAGTTGCAGTTCAATTTGCCGTGTGTGTGTGTGTGTGTGTGTGTGTGTGTGTGTGTGTGTGATTATTGTTGAATTAATCTTTTGTCAGGAATGAAACTTAGAGAGATGTATGCAGCAACGTGTACTCCCAAAGTAAATATGGCTGAAATTTTCTCAAACAATACTGAAAATTTCAGGAACATCTCGTATTATTCTGGTTCTCTAATATTTTTGTCTTCATAGCTATTGAAATAGTGCAAAAATCATAAAATATTTTTAGAGTTTTGTGTTAACCTCTCAAGTGTTCTTTTGTATTCCAATGTTTTTTCCATTTTATTAATCCCTCTACCTTATACTTTAGCCATTCTTTATATAATTTGATCTCCCTAATACTTTGCTTTTCTTTTAAAAAATACTTTATTGTGCCATTCATAATTTGAAACCAGTCTTCCTTTTAAGATTTCTCTCAGGGTACTTCTTTTATGTTCACTACCTAGCCACACTCCCCACTCTACTCTATTGCACATATGCAGGCATGCTTTTGTCTATCAAGCATTCTAGGTACAGTTTCTAAGGCCTGTTAACTTACCTAGACCTACAAAAACATGGGAGATGTCAAGAGAATATTGGCCACAGAGGTTTTTTTAAAAAGGAAAAATCAAAGTCAACATTTATCTAAATTTCTAAAAAATTATTAATTGTATGCCAACTAGTCAACTGCATCTCAAATCCCCTCCATTCAGTGAGAGACCCAGATACAGCTTAATAGTTACTTGATGTGTGATGGAACTTGCAAACTAAGAAGCTCAGTCCAAGAATTTCATAAAGCCCTCATCCGTTTGATTCTTTTATGCTGCTCTGATGTTTTCACATTTGCCCCTCTGATCATCATTCTCTTTCTTCTTCTTTGTAAACATTTCCAGCCCCTCCAGTCTCAAACATCGCAGATTGTAAAATGTTTTCTATATTTCTAAATAGCCAATCATTCCCACTGGGATTTCACAGTTTATCTACCTATCTATATATAATATCCTTGCATCTATCTATCATTTATATGTCTATCTTAATTTATCTTGTTTTTCTGTAATTATTAATTTTGCAGCCTCTATAGTTTACCTAACTGCAGGATTATCTGTGAAGGAGACACAAATTATGCCTAAGACATAATAGATTCATCACTTATTTACAGAATTAATCAATGACAATTTACTGCTTTCTCTTTGACTAAGCCATCAGTTACATCTGACTTACACAGTGGATAATTGAAGAAAATCTGTTTCGTAGTCAATTTACCTCTAAGGATGTAGTAGAATATATTGAAAACTAGTGTAAACTGACCAAAAATTAGGTTGCAGAATTTAAAGAAAATACTATATGAATGACATCTTAATGCATTTTCATAGCCACTGGGAAAAAAATACTTGATAAGGCAAATAGTAGTTTAGGGGCAGAAGTGTTAACTATGCCTTGGAGAGAGTATACCCTAATTATTACCCAAGTAGTAGTAATAGTAGGAATAATTTTTCTTGTTGTTTTGCTATTTATTACTAAAAGAAACATGGTATATTACATATAATTGGTAATAATATTTGTTAATTTTAGTTCACAATTATAGTAAATATAAATTATTTATTGAATCTGTTTTGTGCTGGGTATTATGATAATCAGTCTAAAAAGATAATGTCATTTTCTTTGATTTAATTATTCTAGCAGCACTGGGCACAGTTTTACAGCTGAATAAACTAAGATGTAGAGACTTTAACTTAATTATACAAGGAAGGAGGAAAGGAAAGATTCCACTAGTGTTTCTAAATTCAAATCCGGTATGATTAACCACCTAAAATTGCTACACTAAGGACATGAAATCCTGTTTTTCTTCATCATTTCTTTAATCTTATTTTCTTCCTTTCTTCAATTCCACCTTCATTACTCCCAATTTTATTAAAATTGCTTATAAAATAGTAAGTATTCACTCTATTCAGTGCTTGGATTTTTTTTCAGTAAAGGCACATTCAAAGTAATAACTGAACACTGGGAGGGTGCCTACTTGAAGGGCCTGTGAGACCAGCAGCAATAATGCGTACATGTCTAGTAATAGCCCTAGAAAACGCAAACACCGGCTTGAACATGGGGAAATGGGACTGGGAGTGGCACAAGAGGTCACTGTTGCTGCTTCCTTGTCTGACATTTGGGAGGAGTTAATTACTGAGCAGCAGTTGTTTTCTCAGCAGACAGCCTCCAGAAAGCAAAGCTGGCAGGCCTGCTTTCCAATAATAGCCACTGATCCAGCCATTGTTTGGCACAATGAACCAAGCTCTCTGCTCCGGGAAATGTTTCATTGTATTATCTGGGATTTCTTCCAGCATGGATCCCATCAGAGAGAATTGCTTTATCATATTATTTTTGACTGACGGGGGTAAGACTCCAGGTTTTGCTTTTCTAAAAATTATCCTGCAGCAAATCAGCTTTGATTACGGATAGAATTTACAAAGCTATTTATTCTTCGTCTCATTCCCCAGTCTCAGGAACTCCAGAGTGAAATCCAGTATGATATCAGATTATGTGGTATCTCTTAACTTCCAGCTTCTAAACCTGTCTGAAGACTTAGGAAAAAAAATTAATGAAGATTCACTCATGTTATTTCACTTAAAAGTGAACCTATTCCAGCTGGCCTCCTTCTCAGTCCTAGGAAAGCCAATACAGTGTTCAAATATGATCAAGAAAATTCACATTATATTTCTAAAAGTGAGTTACAGCTTATATTAATGGCTTTATGTGATATGTAATTTTTGGAGCAAAACAAACATTTATGTAAGTACCTAATAGGGAGAGTTAAAAAAATCAGCTATAATAATAACAATAATAATAACAAAAGCATAATAGTTATCCCTTATTTAATACTCACTATATACCAAGCTGTGCTAAGCCCTTTAAACACATTTTCTAAAATTATCTTCAAATAACCCTAAGAGGTAGGAAATATCATTTCAGTTTTTGTTTAAAACCCACATTCAGAGAGTTGAGTTAATTATAGCCTTCAGTTCTTAGTTCCTATCATGATTGGCCTGTAAGCACAAATTTCTCTTTTTTATTAGGTACGCGTATTTAATATGTTCCTCCTTTCCAGTCCCCATGTTCATTCTTTGCTTTCTCAAGGGCAAATTAGTACTTTAATGTCTTAATATATGTCCCTGGATGTGCACATATTTACATAACTTTGCTAAATACACAGAGCTGTGTATGTTTTTACTTTCTGTAACTGCTATTTGCTATAGATTTTTCTTTTCTATTTTTTCAGCACTATATTTTAACCATCTACTTATGGTGCTGAATGCATATCTATTTTGTTGTTTCTAACCACTGAACGGTATGGTGATCTACCATATGAGCACCCACTTGCATGAAAGGTAATTTTGGCTGGCGTGTTGAATAGAGGAGAATCAGGGAAACAAACAAACAAAAAAGCCCACTGAAGTATTTCAAGTTACAAAGAAACATCATTTGTACCTTACTGGCTTTTCAGTGAAAATCATAAAAATAGGCCAGATTCTGCATATGTTTTGAGTGATTTCATGATTGGACAGTAACATGAGAGACAAAAACAGGAGTCAAAGATGATGCCAGGGTGCTGGGGCTGAGCATGTAAAAGAATGGAGTAGTCATCAGATGAGGTGGAGACAGTAGCAGATGAAGCAGGTTTGGTGGGTTCACTAGGGGTGCTACCGGGGCAATGTGAAATCTGAGGCACTTTTTATGTATACACATAGAGATGTGAGTGGGCAGTTGATGTTCAAGTGTGAAATTCAGGAGAGAGGTCTTAGCTGAACTTAGGCATTTTGGAGTCACTGATCTATTGAACACACCTACAGTGAGATGTGTTCAATTACTGAGAAGCACCTAGGACAGAATCCTGAGATACTTCAACATTAACAAGTGGTACAAATCAAGAGATTCCAGTAAAAAAGACAGAGTGTCAAGTGAATTAGGATAAAAACATAATGCCAAGTAAAGAAAAAAAACTTTTAAAAGGAGATGGTGATACACCATGCCAAATATTTCTTATAGATTAACAAGCAGAGAGCTTAAAATTGTCCATCGGGTTTGTCATAGTGCAGATCATCCATGACTTAGATAAGATGAGCTTTAGTGAAGTGATAGCAAGGAAGTCTGATCATAGAGTTGTAAGAGGGAATGAGACTAGACGAAACTACTTAAAAATGGTGATTTCCAGTATGTTAATCACTCTGCATTTGTGATAGCTGGGGGTAGAGTAGCATATGTGTCCATTCTTAGAGCATATGTACATATTGTATACCATTTTTAAATTTCTGGCATAAATCTTACTTCAATATTTTAATGTGATTTTGAATATAGTTAGTATTTGATTTGGGCTTCTCAAATTTATGTTCTTGAGCAAATTGAGCCTGTGTTTTCCTTTGTCTCATATTGTTCTTTACCAAATTTAGAATCAAGGTTATGACAGGGCCAGGTGCCTCATGCCTGTAATTCCAACACTTTGGGATGCCAAGGCAGGAGGATCACGTGGTCAGGAGTTCAAGACCAGCCTGGACAATATGGTGAATCCCCGTCTCTACTAACAATACAAAAAATAGTAGGGCGTGGTGGCAGGTGCCTGTAGTCTCAGCTACTCGGCAAGCTGAGGCAGAAGAATCGCTTGAACCCGGGAGACAGAGGTTGCAGTGAGCCGAGATCGCACCACTGCACTCCAGCCTCAGTGACAAGTGAGATTCCATCTCAAAAAAAAAAAAAGAAAAAAGAATCAAGGTTATTTTATTTTAGTCATAACATGAGTTAGTGGTTTTCTATCTCTTTCTGTTTTCTGCAGCAAAAGTTGAACATTTGGTAGAACTTAACTGTAAAATCATTGGGTTCTGTGATGGCAAGTTATTGGTTACCATCTTGGTATCTTTATGGTTAGTGTTGGAGAGCACATTTTTGGTGCCTCTGTGAGATCTCCTTTGATCCCTTTTTGCAGCTTACATGTTCTCCTCCACCTACATCCTGTATGAATTGCTGCTAATTACTTGTCCTTGAGACTTAGAGATGATAGCCTTTGGTCAAAAGGCCTTGTTGAAGTCTTAGCTTAAGATAAGAGACTATTCAGATTCTTTATTTCTTCATGCATCCATTTTCAGATTTTATACTTTTCCAGAAATTTAGGAATTGTTGCCTTCTCCTTTCTAAGAAATGCGTCTTATAAGTAATCAGTACACATGCTTGTGTGTGTTTGTGCATGTGTTTGTGTGCATGTGCATATATGCATGCACTTTGGAGGTTGACTAGTGAGGCTCACTGGCCAGAAGTCTGCCTGTAAATCCTCATAACTGCTTGATGCATCAGATCTTTTCCCTGCTGGAGAAAATCTCCCCTAAGATTCACATTAATCTTTGTTGATAGAGACTTAGAGAGGTTTAAGAATGATAGACAGGAAGCTTGATAGATGAAAGAAGTTAGACGATAGTTTTTCAAGCAATTCTCATCTTGTGAAGGCTGTTTTTCATGTGGAAAAGAGAAGAGTCTATAATACTTCTCCATCTCTCTATGTAAAGGACATCAGGCAGTATTTACCCATTTGAACTCTAGTTTTTATCCCTGTCACTACCAAAAGGACATTGCTCCAGACATTCCCTACTCTTTTTCTTGTACATCATCAATTATTTTTCTGATGTGAGATCATCCAAGATGTACGAATATACAGTTATTTTTTCTAAGTTAAAAAAGGAGGTATTCCCTCGACCAATCTTGGCACGTCGGTTGCCTTCACATATCTCTGTTCACATTTTCTACAAAACCATCCATGTATCTTCAGTTCCTCAACACTCTTTCTCTCCTACACGTCTCCAATCAGGCTTTCATTGCTACCAGTTCACTGAAGTTCATCATGTCAAGGCCATAGATGATCTGCACTTTGACAAATTCAATGGTCATTTTAAGCTCTCAGCTTGTTAACCTATAATAAACATTTGGCATCGTGTATCACTATCTCCTTTTTTAAAAAAAGAATTACTTTCTTTACTTGGCATTATGTTTTTATCCTAATTAACTTGTCACTCTGTCTGTTTTACTGGAGTCTCTTGTTTTATACCACTTTTTAATGTTGAAGTATCATAGGATCGTGTCCTAGGTATTTCTCAGTTATTGAACACACCTCACTCTCCTGTCAGTCTCATGCATTTCAAGGCTTTAAATACCATTCATAGGTCAGTGACTCCAAAATACCTATGTCCAGCTCAGACCTCTCTCCTGAACTCCACACTTGAACATCCAGCTGCCTACTCCTGATCTCTATGTGGATACCTAAAAAGTGCCTCAAATTTAACATTGCCCTGGTAGCACCCTCAGTGATACCAACAAAGCTGGTACATCTGCTATTGTCTCCACCTCATCTGATGACTACTTCATGCTGTTACATGCTCAGTCCCAGTACCCTGGCATCATCTTTAACTCCTCTTTTTGTCTCTCATATGTAACTAGCCCATTATGAAATCTCTCAAAATATTTTTAAAATCTGGCCAAATTTATCATTTTCACTGCAAAGCCAGTAAGGTACAAATGATGCTCCTTTGTCACTTGAAATATTTCAGTGAGTTTTTAATTGGTTTCCCTGGTTCTCCTCTACTCAACACACCAGGCAGAATAACCTTTTATACAAGTGGGTGTTCACTTTAGTTGTCTCTTCAAAAATAAGTTATCTGTCCCCTTTTCACTCTTGGTAAAAGCTACAGTCCTCTCATGCATACAGGATCGTATGCTTTTTTACCCCTGTTATTTTACTGACCTCATCCCCTGCTATTCTCCTGCAGGAACTCTAGCCTCTTTTCCATTACATGAACATATTTGGGTACTCTGCTGCTTTATGCCTTTTTTTTTTTAGATGGGAACATGCTGCCAACTAGATAGCCACATGACTAAAAATCTATCATCACTTCCTTCAAATCTTTGCTCAAATACAATTTTCTCATCGACACTGACTCTGATTACTTGATTTAAAATCAAATATTTCCACTTCTACTACTAGAACACCCTATTAAACTTACCTGGATCCTTTTTTTTTTGCATAACATTTGTAAGCTTCTAACATTAAAAATAACTTTCTTGCTTATTATGTCTGTTTGTATTGTCTGTGTACCACTACTAGAATTAGGAGCTCCATAATGGCATGGAATTCTCAGTATGTTCTGTCTGCAGAGGTTTTCGAGTAGTGTGGAAAATACTTTTATGGTAGATGTACAATAAATATCTGTTATATAAATAAAGTTTCTTATATATTTAGTTATACTTTATAAATTCTGAAGTTACATCTTTTCTTTGAAGTGCATATCATTCTAATTATAGAAATACAAATTATGTTAAAACACCTTTTGTAATTAGTTGCATGTTAATTCCAAAGATACTCACTATATGTTAATGAGCTTAGAACACTACAAAAAATTATACAGAGGCAACTTCCATTTAAATTTGAAGTAAATAGATAAATGATTTAAGTTAGAAAAGGCAAAGGCTGAAAAGATGACACATATGAGTGATGTTAAAAGACAGGTATTTAAAGCCAAAGAAGTCTTTCATAGATAAAGATTACTCCTTTATATTATGACAGAATACTACACATTATCTTTAATTACATGACATTAAATTGTATATATATATATATATATATCTGTTACCTCACACTACATATACACATATGCATAAATTGGCATGTGGGTATTGTGTGCATAGATATATTTATATTCATTAATGAGATATATATCGCTCTATAGAAAATACATAATTCATCCACATATTTGGTAGGTACTTCCAAAACATCATTTTTCTATCTTTATGACTTATATTTTATGCCCTGATTCCAAAATAGTGTGGCAATATAATCTTTTTCATTGGTTGTTTATTCATGTGTGCTAAGTTCAAGTTCAGAACATATTTCTGAACATTTCTGTTCAATTAAGTACCACTTTCTAAAGGTCAACTGTAAGCTAATTAGGTGGAAGAAGACTTGTAGTTCATAAATGACCTCATATGACTTCAGATATATTTGATGATATTTGGTTCACTTAGATAACTAGTTGTATCAGCATGCTGATTAAATATAAATATGTAGACTTCTTTAGGCTTTTATTTAGGTTTAGGTATGTCTGATAGTATTTTTTATTATAGATATTATTTATATAAAATTCTTCTTGTATTAAAATACACAAATTAAGCATCTATATTTTTATACATTCAAATGTTAAACATATTAGTCCTTTACTCATTCCCACTAAAGACATAATTATGACATTCGCCAGATATTTGCCATTAGAAATAGGATATACACAATATCCCCAGCTATCTTCTTTGAGGTGTATTATACTTTTTGGGCTCGAGTTCTAACCCATATATTCATATTATATGAGAGCCATGACTCCCCACTTATAGTCTGATCACTGCATTTTATATATAAAACTGTAAGAAAAAAAGAACGTTTGGTAATAACATATCTTATACTCATCAGATTATAATAAGTAAAATTATGCTAGTGACGCTCAGAAAAAGTGCCATTGCAAAATCCTAAGCGCTGTCACAGGATAATAGCGTTTTCCATCATGGAATTAACAGAGCATCTGTGTCTCATCAATCATAATATCTGTGGTCACTTTGCTGGTGTGCAACGTTGTTCTTTACCATCATGGGTTGCTATGCTGGTTTGGTTAATAATGTTGGCGTCTGCTATAGGCTTACTGGTATGTTCTTGTCTAGATTCTGCACTTCCCAGAGAATTGGGACTAGGATAGCTCTTCCTAGATATTCCAATATCCCAAGAGGAAAATGTGGGGGGTATTCTTATTAATCTAACTATACATTTAAACATATTTTGTCTATATTTACATCTCAGTAATTGCTCTTTTTTATTAGCATCCACAGATTACAGTGTGACACAACCATCCAGCAACTTTAACTTTCCATAGTTAGACTGTATCCATTTAAACTTCTGTTTTCAGACACAACCTGAAAAAAGTGATTGTTGTCAACATAAAAGTGATTAACTTCTTCTATCTGGGGTTTAACCTCAGAAAGTACTTGAATACTGGTCACTGGTTCTAAAACTGGTTTGTTAATGTCGTTTATAGCCTGTAAATTTAAAAAAATCATCTTGAACGTCAAACAGACAAAGCAATACTGAGCAAAAAGAACAGAAATGGGGCATCATACTATCTGACATTGAAATACACTACAAAGCTATTGTAACCAAAAACAGCAAGGTATTGCTATAAAAACAGACACCTAGACCAATAGAGAACCTAAACAAAGGTGCTGAGAACATATATTGCGGAAAGAACACCCTCTTTAATAAATGGTGCAGTGAAAACTGAGTCTCAATGGGCACAAAGAAGGAAGCTAGACCCCTATCTCTCACCATATAAAAAATCAACTCAAATAGATTAAAAATTAAATATACTCAAAACTATAAAATTCTAGAAAAAATCATGAGGGGATGATGTAAGAGATTGGTGTGTGCAAAGATTTTATGGCCAAGACTTCAAATAAACAGGTAATAAAAAGAAAAAAAAGGCAAATGGTACTATATTAAACTAAAAAGCTTCTGCATAGTCACAGAAACAATCAGCAGAGTGAAGAGACCACATGTAACATGGGAGAAAATATTTACAAACTCTTCATTTGACAAGGTACTGACACCTGGAATATATAAGGGACTCAAACAACTCACCAGCAAAAAAATAAAAATATAAAAATAAAAAAGCCCACAAATATTCCCATAAAAAACTAGGCAAAGAATCTGAATAGGTATTCTTCAAAAGAAGGCATTCAAATGTCCAACAGTCAACATCACTTCAAAAGAAGACATTCAATCCGTTAACAGTCAACATCACTAATTATCTGAGAAATGCAAATCAAAACCACAATGAGATATCATCTCCTACCCCAGTTAGAGTGACAATTATCAAAAAGACAAAAAATAACAAACGCTGGCAAGGATGTGGAGAAAAACTCTCATATACTGTTGAGGGGAATGTGAATCAGTACTACCATAATGGAAAACAGTATGGTTGTTTTTCCCAAATCTAAAAATAGAACTACCATATGATTCAGCAATCACACTACTGGGTATTTATCCAAAAGAAAGGAAATCTTTATATCAAAGGGACACCTGCACCCCCATATTTTTTACAGCATTATTGATAGTAGCCAGTATCAGGGATCAACCTAAGTGTCCATGAATAGATAAATGGAAAAACAATATATGGTTTATATACATGATGAAATTTTATTCAGACATAAAAATTAATGAAATCCTGTCATTTGTAACAACATCAATGGAAGTGGAGATAATTATATTTAGTTAAATAAGCCAGGCACAGAAAGACAAAAATTGTATATTCTCACTTGTGGAGTAGAGAGTAGCATAATGGTTATTAGAGGCTGGAGAGAGAGGAAAGGTTGGTTAGTGGGTACAAACAGACAAGTTAGACAGAAAGAATAAGTTCTAGTGTTCCATTGCACAATATGGTGACTACAGTTGAAAACAACATATTGTATGTTTCAAAATAGCTAGAAAAGAGGATTTGAAATAATCTTAATATGAATAAATGATAAATGTTTGAAGTGATGAATATTGTAAATACTCTGACTTGATCATTACACATTGTATGCATGTATCAAAATATATGTACCCCATAAATATATGTAATTATTAGGTATAAATAAACAAATCTCATTGAATAAATCAGAAGTTTCTTCCCAATGGTTCATGCCAAAGCACTGTGTAAGTCATTGACTAACAAAATGGGCTTATTTTGCAAATTAAGAATCTTTTCCTAAGAAACAGGATCTGTATGAAACACCATGGGTCACTCAGGTGTGAAGTGATAAACAGAAATATGTACCCAGCTGGGGACCTTTGCAATTAGAGAGAACATTCTTTGCTTCATCTTTTTGCAAAGTTGGATTCAATTAACATGTTCAGTGGACAGTGGACTCCTGGCTTTTCTTTACAATCTCTAATAGATTCAATTATTTTTCAGGGTAGCATCCATTCTGTAAATATGTGGATATTGCCTTGTTTAAAATTAAACGTTTTAATGAGAACTGTAGCTCTTAATTTCCATCATTCCTAGACAGCTCATACAAGCAAGATTGATGGCCAAATATCAATATGTTTTGTCTAAATGTATAATGCATATTAAATGTAAACTTCTGATAATAATTCTAATCTCACTTCTGGTCTTCTTCCCTTCCCCTAATCAGCATTATCTATTTAACACAGCCTGATTGGGCAGATTTGTTCAACCTAGTGGCTACTCACTACACACACACACACACACACACACACACACACACACACACACAGTAAGGCAAATTGGTCCAGTAAAGAAGTGGTAAGTCATGTCCGTTAGTGATCCCAATCTATTCTCTGCTACAGTAATAAGCTGAAGATAATTGTCAGGGCACAGACCTTTGCATTACAAATACAGTGATGTACTGTGGACAGGATCACAACACTATATATTCTGTCATTTTCTTCTTTATCATTTCTATGGCCAAATTCCTCCCATATGACTACGAATTATGTAGCAGAATTGACAAAAAAAATTAATCTCATAAGTAAGTGCTGAGTAAATATAGGTTTACCAGGCTGCCCAGGCAGATAGTCTTATCATTACTAAGCTACCATCCTGGCACACTAAAGATAGAAAACCTGGGTATTATCTCTTTGTTTCTATGCTTTACTCATTTGCTATACAGGAATCCACATTTTAGAAGCTGGTAGTGTTCCCGAAGCTAGTTTGTGAATCAATTGTTTGGAACTTGGAATGCATTTTACCATAGAAACAATATTAAAAATGATGGTTGTGTTCCCAGGACAACCCATAAAATGTCTACTTAATCTATAATAAACATTAATTCTAGAACCTAACCAAGCTGTATAAAATGGGCTTGATTTTTAGTGCTTCAGTAGGATTATATTTTTACCAAAAGGAGGAGACAGAACTCCATCTTATCTCCCACGCCACCCACTACGTACACATATGAACAAATCCCAGTTTCCCAATATCTGGATTTTAGAGTGAAGAAATCATAGTGCACATGGTTGTGGTCCCACTGAATTAGTTTAGGATTCATCTGGGCAGAGATGTTGGAATGAGGGCAAGTTAGGAAACTCAAAGTATGAAAGACTAAATGAAAGACAGGCTTCTGCAAAGTTTCTAACAAAAAGCTAAAAAATGCAGAATTAAAAAAGGGTACTAAATAGACTGTAAAAGGACACTTGTTTACAGTATGAGGGCCTTGTTTGACTTCAGCTGGGAATGTGCATATCAAGTGTCTTTGTTAGTTGCTTTGCACTTGTTCAGGAATAACCATGGGAGCACGGAGAATATTGTTTCTGGAGTTACAAACAAATTTTAGTGAGTAGGTGAATTCACAAATACAGAAGCCATAAATAACATGGATCAACTCTGTTTTCGTTTTATTCTAAATGTAGTGAATATGTTAGGAAACACTCTGTTAGAATGCATGCTAGGTTACGTGGTGTGATAAACAATCACATGACCTTTAGTGGCTTAAAGTAAGTTTTATTTTTCACTCCTATAACTTGTCCATCACATTTTGGTGGCAGAGACTTGAAGGGGAAATTCCTGGTCTGTGTAGTCACTCAGCCAACATCACAATAGTTTACATTCATCATGCCAGAGCAAAGCAAGCTGTAGGAGGACTCCATTCCAACAAATAAGAGCTATAGCCTGCAAGTGGCCAGAATTAATCACATACCCTTATCCAACCCCAAGATGACCAGGTTTGGGGTCATACTATGTGTCTGAAAACAGGATGAGGTGTGCATGTAACAAGAAAATCAGAAATATTTGCTGAAGTTTTAAAGATTGAACACATAGATTGTTAATAAATTATACCCAAACAATATTGAATAACCACCTGGGAGTTTCCATCACTAATTTTGAAGATCTCATGTTGAAAAGTTGGAAGAATGATATTAAGGAAGGATCAGAAACTCAAAATGCCAAAATAATAATATGTGGGGCTTTGTTTTGAATGTGTTTGTATAGGTTATTTTAAGCTATATTGTGGAATTATATTTTTATATTACATAAAACCAAACTGAATTTTTCTCATAAGAAAAATAGACTGGAACTAAAGGATTTTACTTTAAGCCTTTTACTCCCACCGATATGATGAAGAATCAATTTTATGATTTTGCTTTTGCCCTTGAACAGCACAAGAGACCCCCTCTCATATATCAGACCTTCTTCAGACAGCCTCAATCCATTTTCTTGATTCCACTAAATCAAGTATGCATTGTGAAGTGAGTAATCTAAGATTTATTATTGTCAGTGGGTTCAAAAACTCCTGCTGCTCTGATTCTCACACCTTCTAGGGATTGAAGCAGAATTTGTCATGTGGAGAGTGCTTAGTGCCTAGTCGTCATTATTTCCTGGTCTTCAAAAAACTGTTGGTGTTTTTGTTAATTTTAAAATAAAATGTTTCAATTTGCTGGATGGAAAATATTCGCACACATTTTATTTTTTATTTAAAGATTTGGTCTTCTGAGCTTTTATAGTTCTCATAGCATAAATTGTAGTGTTTCCAGTGGCAGAATATTTTCCAATGCTAAAATTAAAATAAATATTTTAAATGTTGTGTGAGATTATTTCAAATTTGTTTCTTCTTCTTTGTATTTGCTGACAGTTAAAATCCCAAGAATTTACTATTAAGTAAAGACATAAATCTGTTAATAAAGCATATTTAACATTTGTTTTACACTTTTTCTACTACATATAGAATGATATTTTTGAACAAACCAAGCCTTTTTGAATACCAAATGAATTTTGTACATATACATTAAAAATTAAAATTAAAATCATTTTTTCAGTAGCCTGTTTTTCACAAGATGAGTAATTGCGCCATATAGATAACTTGTTCATTAAATTATGCTTGAATATAATAGTTATTCTACACAACATTTTTTCATTCATATATGTATGTGTCATTTTAGAGAATGTGAGCGTTCTTTCTCTTTTTCTTATCCCATAAGAGTGCATATTTTTTCTGATTAGTTTATCTATTATTTTATTATTTGAGCAAATATTTACTGAGTACCTACTATGTCTCTGCTACTGTCTCCAGCTGTGAGATATGGCAATAAAAAGACATTAAAAAACCCCAATACTTGGCGAGGGTATAGTTTAGTGTGTGAGACAAATAGTAAACAATTAAGTGAGCCAAGCATATAATATGCCAGATGGTGAGTAGTGCAATGAAAGGGAAATAAAACTAGAAAGAGAAATAGGTCCTGTTATGACTGGGTCTATATCTTTTGATTTGGTAAATTATATTTACACAATTATGAATTTATTTGTTTAGCATCATTATGTTTTATTGCTTCAAATAGGTTGGGGTGTGGGACAAGAGAGAAAAGAGGAAAGACTATTCAAAAAAGAAACCTTGCAACTAGCAACAGGATATGAAAATGCCTCATCCTCATAGAACTTAATACTTTTCATATTCCATTTATCATGGGTAACTGATCAGGATCAGAAAAATACCAAAGTGCTTCTTTGTTGGCCTAACCCCACATCTGTAGGGGCTTTCTCTAGAGAAATGATGAAATTGAATACTTTAAGTCTTTCTCACTTCTACTCACTTTCTTGCCTCTCATGTTCATTCAGGAGGCTAAAGGGTTTCCCTGCTGAGCTAGTCACTCATTTTTCAAGTGTTACAACAAAGAAGGGAAACACTAAGGGATTTTTTTTTTTTTGGTAAAACAGATGAAATTATTGACATCCAAAATAATGAAAAGGAGATAACTTGTGTTAGGGCATAAATAAGAGGACTATGACACAGTATATTTACTATATCATATAGAATTACTACATCACATGTCAACAAACAAAAATAATGTTGGTTTTACAAATGGGAGCATTAGAAAGTGCAATAAAATTAGTCCTTCCCATAAATCCTTTGGAGACATTAGTTACCTCATTAGCATTCATCCTCACGTCAGTCACTAGACCTCCTCAAATGTAAAAGGCAGTATACAGGCCAGGCGTGGTGGCTCATGCCTGTAATCCCAACACTTTGAGAGGCCGAGGCGGGCGGATCATGAGGTCAGGAGTTCGTTCGAGACCAGCCTGAACAACATGGTGAAACCCCCATCTATACTAGAAATACAAAAATTAGCCAGGCGTGGTGGCACACGCCTGTTATCCCAGCTACTCAGGAGGCTGAGGCAGGAGAATTGCTTGAACCCGGGAGACGAGAGAGGTTGCAGTGAGCCGAGATCACGCCACTGCACTCCAGCCTGGGCGACAGAGCAAGACTCCATCAAAAAAATAAAAGGCAATATACAGGAGACAGGAAAATGAAACACAGAAACACAAATGAAGAGTAAAATAAAATAGTCCTTTTAGTTTATCCCCTTAAAGAATTTGCTATGAAAAGGAGGTAGATTACAAAAGTAACAGACAAAACAGTATGATGATAAAGAAATGGCTTTCACTTACACCTAAATGTTTTACAGAAGAGTGACGTTAATTGACTAAGTAATTACATTTGAAAAAAGAGAATAATGACGTGTTAAGAGCGGAAACTCTTTTTCAACCTGCCTCATTGAACATAAGTGCAAAAATTTCGAGTTTTCTTAACTAAATGATGACAACTCTCAATGTAGAACAACTTTGAAAATATAGAGGCTGATTATTCAATTGTCCCTCAAGCTTTGAGTATAATGAATACTAACCAAGGAGATATGTTAAAAATGATTCTTAGATAATTTATACTAGAAATATTATTGTAGCTATTACATCTAGTTCTACTGCAGTTGTTGAGTAATTTATATAACTACATAGCAGTCTCATTTTGAAAATAACTGGTTCGTAATAGGAAATGTTCTTAAGTGAGCTGAACTTTGTCCCCACAATACTGAAACATTCTATTTCTAAGGATACTCACACTGTGTGACCTTTTTCAGTGCCAGCCTGCCTCTATATGGATTCAGTTACTTATACAAAAATTGTAGGCTTTTTTCCCCTTTAGGAGGAAATTACTTACCCCAACCTTTCTCTAATACTGCATTGGGCGAAATTCCATGTGTCACTGTTCAGAAAGGATCATAAAAGGCATTTTGTGGCCTTTAGGAACGTTTTTGCTATACTCCATTTTGACTTACCACCTTTGGGTAAATAAATCTTTGACAATTCTCATCCTGGGTGCAAAGCTGACCATGTACAAAGTATCTGCTTCTGGAATCTGCACCTGCAAATCAGAGTGTATGACCCTGTGGTTTTGAAAAGCAGCTCACATTTGAAATCAAAGTTTTCTTTGTTTGCCTGCATCATTCTAATATTTCTTGCTTGGCTTTTCTATTGGCAATCCTACCGGTCTCGATTAGACCTCAATTTTAGCGACTCTGAGGATGACAGCCTATCGGATGTCACCTTGATGTAAATCTTGAAGACACCACTTAAGCTGTATTTTAAGGACAAACTATCACTATAAAGTTTTGAACTTTGATAAAAATCTAACCAGATATATTCTGGATGGTGTGAATATTGACAGGCTAGCATGAAACATAGTTTATATAGATAATATACTTTTAAGATGCAAAGGCTGTTCTTTGTTTTGTTTTCCTAGAATGACATATGGTGCAATCTTTTCTCTACAGGGTTAAACAGGCAACAGAGTGATGTTTCTAAAGTGCTGGAATAAATGATAGGGAAAAACCTCAATACTGCCTTTAATTCCACTGATGCAAAGATATATTTCACCTGAGAAAGAAAACAGCTTTTCAGAAAGCAATAAATCAATTATGCTAAGTACCAAAGACATTGATACATATTTCCTTAGAATTTTATTCTATTTTTTATCTAACGAATCCAGAAAATGCTAAAATATATTTTTTTGTAAAATTGTATTACTATGCTAGCTTATATAGCATTTGTGTGATTAGTTGTGGAAAGCATATGACATTTTTTGGGTAGAATTTAGATTGAATATAAACATTTCTCTAAATTTTAATTATCTTTTATATGCTGGGATGCATTGTATAATAAGTTTGTTTTATATTTTATGTTTGGTTTTTTTTGTGATATAGGAGGATAGTGAGACTAAATTTTGTTTATACATGTAAATAAAACCCAGAGAGGGTAGTTTTCTTTTATTATGTGTTGATGCAGATTCACTAGTGCTTTTATTTAACAATGTAAAATAATACAAAGAAGCTGGGCTTCATAGGCTAATTTTAAACTAAAAAATTTCCAAACTTGCTTACCTGCTTGAAGTTGCTCCTATTCTAAATTGTACAGGCTAGAGAAAACTCTATAGGCTAGAGAAAATTCTATAGGCTTAAAAAATTACAAATACCCATGTCTGGCAAGTTTAAGAAAATTAAGATAAAAAATGTTAATGTATTCCATTTATCTTCTTAAGGGGACTTATTGTGACCTTTAAAATTTATTTTCAATGTATTTCAGCACATTTCAGTAAACTAGGAAGCAATGGTCTGTTTCACATGTAATGATCTATAAAGGAGGAAATCAAAATATTAGAAAATTGCATAATAGTCTGAATATCAGATTTAACTATCAGTAGCTGGGAATTTTAAAGCCAGACAAAACAATTAAGACTGAAAACAGGTTTATAACGCATTAAAGTTAGAACCCATAGAAAACTACACATTAAAACGTACGTAGTCTCTTTCTCTCTCTCTCTCTCTCTCTCTCTCTCTCTCTCTCACACACACACACACACACACACACACACGCAGTTAAATAGAAATGTCTGTAGTCATCAGTAGTCCCTAAAACAAAGTCATGACCAAATAAGGAAACTGAAGCAATCCCTTTGATAATCATTTTTTTCAATTTGTCTGCTTTTTAATTGTGATTGTTATTTTATAAAGATCTTTAACATTTATTTTCATAGTTAAATATTATTACAATTCACGTTGCCCAAGTTAAGAAACTGAAACTTAAGGAAGTGATTTGTTTTAGAATTTGGTGCAGGAAGCAAGTATATGGTTGAGTGCGAACCTAAAGCCAGGTGTTCTAACTAAATCAAATTTCCAGCACACCAGAAGATACTGATAAATGAGCACATGTATAGAGACAAAATTGTTGATGTTTGTTGATTTTTATAATATATCCAAACACAATCCAAAGACAAGACAATTAGCACTCTGCTTACCATTACTTCTTTAATTATATTACACTTAACTTTCTTTCTCTTTAAAGTTTTTTTTTTTTTAATTTTCTACTGGAAGATGTTTTACAAGTTGAGGAATTAGGAGATAAACATCTAATTTTAGTCCTCCAGCCAATATTCTCAATGGCTTCAAGCAAGTCTCTTTCATGTAAAATAGGAAGGTAGGACTAGAATTGGAGGCTTTCAATCCTGGCTGTATATTGAGATCTGGGGCAGGGTGCGCTTTAATTCTATCTTGTAATTAACCAGGGTGTGGTAGTTTGTTTTTGTTTTTGCTTTTGTTTTGTTCTTATTGCTTTAAAGCCTTCTCACTTAGAAATTCATATAAATTTTGTATAAGGGAAATCACATCTGGGATTTGCTTTCAAATAGACTTCAGAAATAAAAATAAATAAATAAAATAAAAAAGAGCATCAAGAAACAAATATGAAGGGAAAAGAAGAGGGAAGAAAAGAAAGTGAGACCAAAGTGGGAAAGAAAGAATAGTAGTAACATAAAAAAAAATAGTGTTATAGTTGTAGAAGCTGGTTGATTCTATTGTCCAAAGAAGTCAACATGGCTATATAGTAGAAAAGAGGGCTTTGTTGGTGATATGCGCTAACAAACCTGGAAGACATAGTCTCTGGCATGGACTGAAGATGCTCTCTCTTCAAAGAGGGAAGGGGCTGGTTGGGTTTTATGCCTCACAGGGTCCCTATGACACAATGGGGTCACAAATATTCTGCATATTTGGAGAAAAAAAAAGTTATATATATTTGTAAGGGGAGGCAAGCACATGTGAAATGGGAAAACATATATGTAACATGTATCCCATGTTCACTTTTGGGTGGGATTTTGACATTAAAATGAGGTGGCATTTGGCTCTTACTTTAAAATGTGAACTATAGGACAAAAAGACATTTGTGCACAGCTTCTATGAGTTGCTGAACCTGGTTTAAGGTCTATAGTTGCTTATCCAAAAAGAATGCATGTAAGGCCAGTCATTGGTCCAATCAGAGTTGTGATCTGGGTTGTAAGTCAGATTTAGGAGGAATCTGATAATTTGACTGATAGCCCCTATTGTTAGAGAGTTCAGCAAAAGTGTGGGTTTTCTTGTAGTTTAAGGAATTCAGAAAATTCTTCATTGTGCCATGCCAGATGGGCCCTGAAACGTTGACCCATAGGTAACTTTTGTTTCCTTAACCTTAGGGTCTGTCTTAGTTGATGAAAGAGCATCTGTTTTGGTCTCTCAGTTTACAGTTGTTACATGGGGGTTCATTCTCCCCTTAGTTTTGTATGGTTGCAAAATTTCATAAAACAAAAATAACAAATAACAACAAATTTTGCTTAGGCTTTAGTTCCACCAGTTCTAGAGATTCTGCTTTAGTATTCTGAGTCAGTAGTTCCTACAGTGTGGTGTCTAGACTAATGTTATTACCAGGGCATTTGTTTGAAATATGAATTATTGGGATCCCCTCCAGATCTACCGAATCAGAACCCCTGAGGGTGGGACCTAGCAATCAGTGATCTTAATCTTTCTCATAATTTTGATTTATACCTAAATTTGAGGACCATCAGTCTGACTAAGGCTCTATATTGGTGTTATATTTAAAGCCCCAAGTTATTCTAACATGATGATCATGCTAAGAACAGTATTCAAGATGATCTCTGAACTCATAAGCCCTTGGACTTTCATTAAAACAAAAAGTTAAAATTCAGTAAAAACAAAAATACACACACACACACACACACACACACACACACACACATACACTTTAGTTCTTAGATTGATACTTGCTGCATGCTATGGATTTCTCAAAAATAAGAAAAATAATTTTAATTGTTGAGAGGACTAAATGAGCTAATACATTAAAAGCACTAGAGTATGTCTGACTTGTAAGAGGGCTAAATAGTTTTTGTTTCAGTTTCTGTTATTTATTTATATTAATTTGCAAATGCCTTCTACAAATTTTACTATGAAACAGTCTAAAAAATGTTTTAAATAAATTTTGTTTATTTAACCAACTTTTAAATACAATATATTTTATATCAGCAACCAAAAATATTTATTTACCTATGGTGAAATATATTAATGCTTGGCCTGACTATCTGCTCATATGTAAATTAAATAGCAATATTTCTTTGATCATTTTATTTTGATGGACATAAATCAAAATGTATTTCCTCCACATTTGATTGCAAAGGCTCAAACAGGATCCTAAGGAGACATGAGGACCAACTATACTGTGGAATCCTGGATTGGATGCTGGAACAAAAAACTATACCTTAGTTTTCCTTAGGTATAAACTAAGGAAATTTGTGTGAAAGATGAACTTTAGTTAAAAATAATTGTGACAAATGCACCATAATAACATAAAATGTTAATACAAGCATACTTTGTTTTATTGCACTTTGCAACTATTGCATTTCTTTTACAAATTGAAGGTCTGTGCCAACCTCACTTTTAGCAAGTCTATCACCACCATTTTTCCAAGAGAATGTGCTCACTCTATGTTTCTGCCACATTTTAGTAATTCTTGCAGTATTTCAAACTTTTGCATTATTATATTCATTTTGGTGATCTGTGTTCAGTGATCTTTAATGTTACTATTTCATTTGTGTTGGGGCACCACAAAACATGCCATGTAAGACTGAACGTAATAAATAAATGTGTGTTCTGATTGCACCAAGACTCTTTCCCGAGGTCTCTTAATTCCCTCTATCAGCTGATTCACAACTATAATGAAACTAAACCAGTTAATAACCCTACAATGGCCTCTAAGAGTTGCAATGAAAGGAAGAGTTGCATGTCTGTTACTTTAAATCAAAAGCTAAAAATGGTTAAGGAGAACGACATGTAGAAAGCCAAGATAGGCTGAAAGCTAGGCCTCTTAGGCCAAACAGTTAGCCGGGTTGTGAATGTTGAGGAAAAATTATTGAAGAATATTAAAAATGCTACTTCTGGCAGGGCGTGGTGACTCATGCTTGTAATCCCAGCACTTTGGGAGGCTGAGGAGGGTAGATCACAAGGTCAGGAGTTTGAGACCAGCCTGGCCAACATGTTGAAACCTTGTCTCTACTAAATATACAAAAAATTAGGCGGGTGTGGTGGTGCATGCCTGTAATCCCCACTACTCAGGAGGCTGAGGCAAGAGAATCACTTGAATCTGGGAGGCGGAGGTTGCAGTGAGCCAAGATTGCTCCATTCCAATCCATCCTGGGCGACAGGGCAAGACTCCATCCCCCCACCCCCCAAAAAAGAAGCAAATTGCTACTTTAGTGAATGCAAGAAAAACAAGAAAGCAAAACAGAGCTTTATTTCTGAGATGGAGAAAATTTTAGTCATCCGAACAGAAGATCAAACCAATCCAACATTGACTTAAACCAAAGCCTAATACAGAACAAGTCCCTAACTCATCAATTCTATGAAGCCAGAGAGAGATGTGCAGAAGATGTGTTGGAAGCTGGAGAAGGTTGGTTCATGAGGTTAAAAAAAAAAAAAAGCTGTCTCTGTAACATAAAAATTCAAGGTGAAGTCACAAGTCCTGATGTAGAAGCTACAGCCAGTTATCCAGATGATCTAGCTAAGATAGTTGATAAGTGTGGCTACACTAAACAGATCTTCGGTGTAGACAAAACGGTCTTGTATTGGAGGAAGATACCCTCTAGGACTTTCATAGCTAGAGAGGAGAAGTCAATGCCTGGCTGGAAAGCTTCAAAGGATAGGCTGACTTTCTTGTTATTGGGCTAATGCAGCTGGTAACTAAGTTGAAACCAATGCACACTTGCCATTCTGAAAATCCAGGGTCCTTAAGTCTTAATGTTAGATCTGCTACACCTGTGCTCTGTAAATGAAACAGCAAAGATTGTACATCTGTTTTCACAATGATTCACTGAATGTTTTAAGCTTAAGGGTTGAGACCGACTTTTGAAATATTACTACTGCTCATTGACAATGCACCTGGTCACCCAAGAGCTCTGATGGAGATGTACAAAGAGATTAATGTTGTTTTTATGTGTGTTCACACAGCATCCATTCTTTAGCCCATAAATTAAGGAGTAATTTTTACTTTAAGTCTCATTATTTTAGAAATGCATTTTATAATGCTGTAGCTGCAGTAGAAACTGATCCCTCTGACAGATCTGGGTAAAGTAAATTGAAAACGTTATTTGCCACTCTAGATGCTATCAAGTATAGTCATGATTCATGGAAGGAACTCAAAATATCAACACTAAGAAGACTTGACTCCAATTTTGAAAGAAGTTCAACTGTTGGAAAAATGCTATCAAACGTCATTATATGCTACAGAGAAATCTTTTGTGAAAGGAATACTCAATTAATGTGGCAAACTTCATTATTGATTTACCTAATGAATTGTCATAGCCACCCCAGCGTTCAGCAGCCACCAGTCAACAGCCATCATCATCAAGCCAAAACCCTTCACAAGCAAAAAAGATTAGGATTCACTGAGGACTCAGATGATCATTCACACTTTTTTGCAAAGATGTATTTTTTAATTAAGGTGTATACCTTGTTTTTTAGACATAACGCTATTATATAATTAATAGACTACAGTATAATGCAACCATAAATTTTATATGTCTTGGAAGACCAAAAAAAGAAAAAAAAACTCATGTGACTTGCTTAATTGCAATATTAGCTTTGTTGCAGTGGTCTGGAACTAAACCCGCAATATCTCTGAGTTGTGCCTGTAATAACATCTCACATGCAGTATAAGGAAACTCTTTGTAATCTGCTCCTAATTTTTCTGTAAATCTAAAAATATTCTTAAAAATCTTATTAAAACAATTTAATATTTTAAAATTTTACTATTGAAACAAGATTTATAATTTATTCAACATTTTGCAAGAGATTATCAAGTGATTTTTGGATATTTATTTTTAAAATGTTTCACCGATATGGCATTTTTTGGTATTTAATATTTCTCCTAGAGCTTCAAAGATAGGACTTTAGGGTTGTTTCAACTGTTGGTTTGATGATATGTATGAGAGTTGCTGAAAATTAGACTTCATTGTTCAAGAGGTTTTTGTAGGTAACTTGATATTTCTCTTATGAAGATAAGAAAAACAAGGCAGCTTCCCGGGATGCCAAAATTGTCACTCTAGAATTGCAGAGGCATTGGGGAAAATCTAGTTTAATATGAGATATATGAATATTTTGTAGAATTTCTGTTAACAACTCCACATATTTCTATTTTTAACTCGAGACTGCCTTATTTCATTTTCATTTTATATTTATTAACCATCATTTTATGTCTCAAAGGAATAATACAGTCGCAAATTAGAAATGGAAAAGTTTAGATGGTGAAACTGACTATAACAGAGACATACTTTAGAATTTAGCAACAATATTTGAGTTTGAGGCTGAATTATCTCTTAAAATGAAAAAAAAATCACTGTAGTGTTCACTGGCTTGTCTAACAGAGTTGCTTTGCTGAATATATTCCATGTCCTCTCTATTTTTCCACCTCAGTTGACAGGTCTTCACTTCTTCCCTCTTCTCACACAGCATGCTGACATTTCTTCGACTCTCCTCACCCCATTCACTTTTTTTAAACTCTCCCTTAGGGAAACTGAAATGTCAGCTACTGACTCTGAAAAAGGTTGATTCATCATTGGGAGTTCATTTACCCTACACATTATTCTTCTTGTTATTGTTTGAATGTTCATATGCAAATATATGAACCCAGTTATAAGAAAGAAATGCAATCATTATTTTTAGTCATGGTCTTCATCCTTCATTCAATGAGGTGATTTCCCACAATTATCATTCAGAGAAGGAACTCATATCTGATAATTTCTGAATTTTTCTCCCAAACCCCCAATATGGCTTGCAAATTTCCAGTGGCTCAGTTCCAAATGATGGGGGAGACATTAAAGTTTAATATATTCCCACAAACTAAATGTTATTGCTCTATCCAATATATTGGTAAAATTTAGTCTAGGAACTGGTTGATATTCCATAAAAATTAAGTGCACCACAGTATATGTGGATTTTTTATCTTCCATTTCTTTAATTTTTTAGTAAAACCATAGTCTCTGGAGGTATGGATTTTTGATTAACAATAAGTTCCTCATTAATATTAATCAGTTTCTAATAAAGAATCCCTGTAATTGTACATATAGAATAGCATTTAGGACTTAAACCATTTCTTCTCATTATTAACCCAGCAAAATCTAAAAACCCTGTTAATTTGTTTGAAGATCCTATAAAAATACCTCCATCCAGACAGACAGAAGTTTAAGTCTTATCTTGTATCTCAGTGGAGCACAGAACAAAGAAACCATCAGTTGCCTTGGGGATAGGAAAGTACAGTGGCAAGTCAACAGGATTCAGAGAGAGTGAACAATGTTAATGAAAATTAAGCACAGAAATGAAGGTCAACCAGCCATCAGAGAAGGATCAGCTCCTAAGAGTTATAGATCTAGAATGAATCCAATGAAGAATCCAGTAGGCAATCCTGGTTAAAAATAATGTTAAACATATGGGGAAGAAGTCCCAATTTATAGGAATTTGGCTTGGCGGGAGAGACTGATATTTGTGAAGCGGTGTTTCCAAGAGCATCTGAAAAACGTTCCTGCCCAAGCTACAGAACATAGGAAGAGAAAATTGTCAGTAAAAGTCATCTATTCCGCAGACCACTATTTTTCTGATTTTGACGGGGAAGAAGACACAATAATGTGTCTGACACATACAGGCAAACAGATTGTTCATTTTGTAATCAAATATTTGAGCCAAATGCATTTTAAATAATAGCCAGAAGTGAAGTGAGGTAGAAGACATATTTAGCTGCAATTAGAAAGGAAATTTAATGATCCAAACATAGACATTGGAAACTAAGCCAAAACTTGAAAATAGAAAGCTCTCCGTATTAAAAAAAAATACCACGGTGTGTTCTATGAAGTTATATGTTCCAGTAATTTGTTCTTCAATCAATGTGGCAGGCTGATGTGAAATGACTGCTAACCGTTTTGTAAAACCCAGACAACCTTACAGAATTAAATGAAAAACATTTTGGTTTTGTATTTTTCCTGTTTGGAAATTTGGCTCTTAAAGTGCCTATGTTTTCCTAGATACTGAACCATAGTCAAAATATATTCAAACAAGAGAGGTATAGGTGTGTGAGACTTTACTTATACATATATACAGCTGTCACATTTCAGAAAGAGCTCTTTATCTGTATGGAATTATGTAGTTTAAAATAGAACTATCCAACTGTTGTTATGTAGCACAGTTGACAGCTAGGGGATATGTTATTAATGTGTTCGCTTATGTTAGGAATTTTCAAATTTTTCTAACAGTGAAAATTTTCCATTCAAACAAAATATTTTGTGTCACTTCAATTATAATATAAAAAGTGACATGGTTTGATCGAAGCTGGTGAGAGTGGGCCATATTTAGCATAATTCTGACCATGTTTCCTCCCTTTCAGCCTCCACACTGGGACCAGGTAACTATCAGCGATCCTAGGGCTCTCTGGAATGTGATTTAAAACCACTGTTGTAAAATGCATTAAATTCAGCCATGAAAATATCCAGGTCTTGGATCATATTTGTTAGTTTGTTGAAGTCATTTGGAAGCCATTTGGAAATTATTTTGTTCTTCTTACTTTAGTTCAAAAATAATGGCACGATATTTTAAAAAATCAAATAAAAAAGTTTATGTAAAAATGAATCAGCTTCCGATTATAATTTATCTATTCTATTTTACAGATATGTTATTGTTAATAGTTTCTCACGATTTCCTCCAAAAATATATGTGGACATGCACACAGCCAGCCATGTTTCTCTTTTACACCAGTGAGGAAATAAAAATTATACTGATTTGTACGTTAATTTGTACACCTAAGAAGAAATCTTAGAAATCGCTCCAAAATTAGATATATAGTTGTATTTTGCCACGCATTACATACCACTTCAATGTTTGCATTGTCAAATATTACTTTTAGTATTATTAATAAAAGATCACTTTTTAGACTAAAATACTATATTAATAATAATTGGTTAATGACCATCTTTTTTATAGAAATACTTGCAAATGTATGCAAGTATTTATGTAGGATGGAGTCCTAGAGATGGACATGCTGGATAGTTATTTCAGAATTGCCCTTCGATGACCATGGAGATTCACATCAACAGTGAAATGAAAGGGACATCCTCCACCTTGGGGTATATCATTGGATCTATGTTATCTTTGCTAGAGATTTGAAGACAATGCATCCTTTTTTATTTTAACTTGCATTCTCCAATACAATAGTGAGATGAGCATATTTTCATATATTTAAAGTAGCTTCATTTTTTTTTGTGAAATGCTTTCTCAGACCAGTATCACATTTTAAAATTAATTTTTAATAACTCCTCAAATATTAAGGAAATTAATACTTGATACATGGCTTGAAGAAAGTTTTCAGTTTTTTAAAATTTTATTTCTGAATTTATATTTCATATTATCTTCTTTTATGACTTCTGGGTGTGATATAAAAATTACTCATGAGTAGTGGCAGAGACTGTTTTTATGTTGGTTAGTGACCTGTGTAATATCCACCATTAAAACAAAATTTCCCTTTGAGTCTAGGTAAATTATACATATCTTGTGTAGTTAGTGTGTTTCTTTTATTTTAATAATGAGAAATATACAGTATTTTATTTTATTTGACTTATGGTGCTAGAAACTTCACAGTCAAGTTGATAGTCAAACAAATTTATATTCACTGTCATTGTTAATATATTTTACCCTCCACTTTACACTGCTTTTCACTTTAGATCCAAATTTTATTTTGACAGTCTGAGAACAATGCTATTTATAAATATGTGTTTGTAGATATATGTGTAGATATAGATATTTAAATAGATACATGTGCGCATATATGTATATAGATGTGCATATCTACGTATATATACGTATATATATGCATATATATGCATATCTATATACAGAGATATGCATATCTATATACGTATATATCTATACATATATATGCATATCTATATACGTGTATATATATATGCATATATATATATATATATATATATAGGCAGAGGAAGAAGATAGAGTGGGCTAGACAGGCAGAGACAGAGGGAATCTGTTGCAAGCAGCCTTTAGTTATTAACCTACACAGAAACTTCAAAAATTTTGTCTTTCTTGTAATTAGAGCCATATATATTCTGGTTATGTGTTTCTACATAATAACTGTCATAAAACTTAATGGCTTAAAATAATATATTATTATCTCTAATGATTTTGGGTATTGATGGGCCAAACTAAATTGTTGTCATTTGGAGTCCCTCATATAGTGGCAGTTAGATGGTAGCTGATATTGGAGTCATCAAGAAGCTTCTTCACTTTCTTTCACTTAGACTGAAATGGCTGAACTAAAAGAGAGGAATCATAATCTATCTTTCCATTGGTAATCTGTCCTTCCACGTGACCTCTCCATGTGACTATCTTGATCTTCCTCACAGACTGGCAGTTTTCCCCAATGCCTCTGCAATTCTAGAGTGACAATTTTGGCATCCCGGAAAGCTGCCTTGTTTTACATATACGACATTGTTTAGGCCAAACACGTAAATTTTCTTTATTTATGTATATGGAATCATTTACTGTCATGTAATTCTTTGACTCCCTTGAGTTTTATCATAATGGTATGTGTATGAATTTTCTACATTAAAGGCAATATTTACTCAAGATTTTTAAAGTGATCTAATAAATCTGTAATTATGTATCCTTTACAAATATTTTTGCTTTTCTCTTCAAATTTTGACATGTTCGTGATATACCTATATGTAGCTAGAAAATTCCTAATGTGAGTTTATTTTTGTCTCTGCTTTCAATTGTGCTTGTTAGTAAATTAACATGTAATACAGTAAATAAAATTTCAAAAATCTCAGAAAAAGTCTTTGATCCACAGTAGGTGTAATGAATTATTACAGTAAAGAAAGAATTCCAAAATCTGACGTCCTATTTATTGAATTCATATTATCTAAATATTTATTTTCATTTATTCCATGCTACATTTGTATCTTGTAGCATAATATTATACAAGTACTTATATTTTTAAATGTTGCAATAGTATTTTATTAAGCAGCTTGGTCAATCAGATAAGCTTAGAGAAGAAGAAAGAACCAGGGGAATCAAAGAAAGAAAGAAGATAAGAGTCTTTTCTTTTCTTCACTTCTGACTGGAAAACAAACAAACAAACAAAACCAGATGATTCAGGTTAATTTCATTTTGTAATGGCAATTAATTTTTCCATCAGAATGAGGATGAATTTCTTCTTATCATAACATCATTATTAGTGTTTTTATTTGAGATAACAGTTTTAATATTTAATTGCCTTCCTTTGAAATTAGATTTTGAAATTCAAATTTATTAAATTCAACAAAAGTGAAATATAAACATTGATTTACCAAAATACACAATGGTAATATGACATTTTGGGTATCCACATGTTAATCTTTGTGAACAATTTTTCTTCAACAAGTAAAAGGTGATTCAGATCTCCTCAAAACAATATTGCAACTCCCAAAAGGAACATTCAGGAGTGATTCTTAGATATTTTATAATTGGTAAACAGATTAACAAAGTCTAAAACTGTCCTGGATTTCTGTTTTATATGCAGTTATTCCCTGGGAATGTAAACAAGTCAATGCATCATTATTTAATGTTTTATTACTTTTTAAGTATACTGTCTTAAATATACAATTTACTGAGAGTATGAAAAATTCAATGCTTTTAACACAATAATAGCTACTTGTGTTCTCTTTCTTGCTATTATTTTATATGTTTAAAACATAATGACACATAATTTTGAATGTGCTTTTGTATGATAATTCACGCATACACACTCTACAATTCCCCAGTTAGTGCAAACATCTGGTTTCTTCAGATATAAGAGGAAAATTTTCTGGAATCCTAGGTATAAAACATCTTTAGAGGGAATGGCTTGGACTCTGGTTCCCTTTAGCCCAGTCAGTTATGTTTAAAGAAGATAAAAAGCAATTCAAGGCAACAAGAGATACATATCAAAACTACTACAAGTGTCTATGAGCATGCTTGAGGGACTGAGATTTAATCAACTACTTCAGAGCCAATGACAACATGTGAAAAGCTGCAAAGAAGCTCATTTACTTCTCTCAAACAAACTCTAAATCACTGCCATAGAAACTGTCATTCCATAATTAGTATTGATACAGACAGGAGGCAGGGAAATAGGGGGTAAAAGAGGATGGTTCCCCAGCAAAGGTTCCATTCTGCAGCCTGGAAATTGTGGCCCGAAAATGAGAATAGTTATCCCTGTTTTCCTGCCCAAATGTTGCTTTTTCCAAAACCACCCCAGCCCGCCATGCCCCTCATCCGCTACCCATAAAAACCCCAAACTCCATTGACAGAGGAGCAGAGTGGTGTGGCAGTGAAGGAGAGAAGAGAAGAAGTGGCTGAACGTCCAGGAGAGAAGAAGCAACTGCATGTCAGAAACTACAGATAGACACCGCTTAACTTTAGATGGCATGACTTTGGAGAGGAGCCTGGCTGGAGACAGCTGGGCTTCAGGAAAAGATCCCCTTCTTCCCATACCATCCCCTTTCCAGCTCCCCTTCCACTGAGAGCCACTCCCATCACTTAATAAAATCCTCTGCATTCATCGCCTTTCAAACCTGAATGTGACCTGATTATTCCTGGAGGCCAAGTTAGAACCTGGTACCAACAGGATAGTATGTAAAAGGCTGTCACCCTGACTCCACTGAGCTGGTTAATACTTAGCCATCCACAGATGGCAACTGCTAAAAGAGCATTAACTGTAACACACCCATAGATGCTGCTGTGGGCCTGGAGCACAAAAGTGCTTGCCCTAGCCCTGGCATCCACTTGCCTGAGTGCTCCTCCTCCCACAAGGGGTTTGATCACTGCGGTGGCCAAGTAGGCGAGCCACAAACCTGTCTCAAGTCCCGTGAAGGGGTCAAGGAACTCTCTCCCATCTCAGTATCATCATCAAGGCCAAGATGAGTCATTCCAGTAGACTCATGGCCACAGGAACTGAATTTGTGTGGGCATATTAGTTTTCTACAAATTTCCTGAATGAAGAGCCTAAACAACACATATACGTTATCATACAGTTCTATAGGATATAATCCAACACGTGTCTCACTGGGTTAAAATCAAGAATTTGTTCTGGCCGTGTACCTTTGTACTCTAGCTGAGAATAAGTTTTCCTTTTTCCAGCTCATAGAGGCTACCTGCATTCTTTGGCTTGTGGTACTTTCATTCATCTTAAAATCTACCAACAATGGTAGATTTAGTCCTTGTCACATAGCATCACTTAGACTTCACAGTCTCCTTCATCTAATTTCAGGACCCCTGTGATTACATTAGTTTCATCAGGTTAATTTTCTTATTTAAAGTTAGCTGATTAGCAGCCTTAATTTTTGTTTCCATGCAATATAACATGATCGCAGCTCGCAGGGATTTGGATATAAGCCTCTTTAGGGGACCATTATTCTGCCTACCAAGGCAGAGGAATTAAAAAAATAATAAAGTAAAAACAAGGCAGATGTCATGGTAACAATTATCAGATGAATTTGTGGCTAGTATCAATTAGGAATTTTTTGTATATCCAGTGTTTCAAAATGTGACCCAAACAGGCTTAAGAAGGTGAAATTATTTAGCTTTCATATCTATATTGCTGAGGGTAGGATGACTTATAGCTGTAGCTGGATATAGAGATTCAAACAAATTTCTTTTAGGATCTGGTTTTATCCTCTCCATCTCTCACCTCTACTTTTCAAGGGCTGACTTCTTTCTCAGACAACTTTTCTTTCAGAGTGCAAACTTGTTTCCTCCAGCCAATCAGCGTGAGGGGTATTGGGATTGGATGGGATGATGGGCAGAAGGTAAAACAGCTGGTGGTGAGTGGCCGGATCAACTTAGAGGCTTTTGTTTTCCTTTCTTTTTCTTCTTTTACTTTTAAAATTCTTTTTGGCTTTTCACCACAGGGGCAATACCATCTGTGCTTCTGTGTATATCCAGGTCTTCTTCTTTATTTTTTATTTTTGTTTTTCCTATGCATTTTGGTGAGTATCTGCCCTGCAGCTCTCAGTGCCTTCAGTCAGGCTTGTACCTTCCACCCCTTCCCATCATGGGCTTAGACAGGATGGTGATTTGGAGGCCCATACCCTGTAGAATTATAAAGACTTAAATTCCTCCTCTCTCTCTTGTTCTCCAGTATGCTCTGTTGGATGACCATGACCTTTCATCTCTCTTGGGGACATATCTTGTTTCTACTCCTAATCATTTTTCTCTTTAAAGCAGTTGACATCAGGGGAGAAAAAGAGAGGAAATCAAAGGTGCTGGAGAGAGAGAGTGGCTCTAGATCAGCATGTAAACCACATTTATTTTTGGTTTCAAGTTGTCTGCTATGTACTGGCTCAACTAACCAGACTTCTGGTTTTGGTCAATCCAAAGCTCTACATCCTCATTGTTTGATACTATTGATTCTGTCTACAGGACCCTTTGACTCAGTGGAGACAAACACTGCCTTTTGTGATAATGGGCTATGAAACTCTTGTCTTTATTGTCATAGGAGCTCACTTTTCTGCTCCTGCCTGGAGGAGAGTAAACAACCAACAACCAAAGCACATCAGGGGAAAATTGTTTCTGTCCCTCCTCTCATTGCTCAGCCTCTCAACATTTATTAACAGGTTGGACATTAGGAAATCCTTATTCTTTCCTACCACTTGGGTAAGAACATTTACTACCTTATCCCAAAGAGGCTCTTTATAACTTCAAATAAACTTTCAGAGGGCTTTGAACCTCTCATCTTCTAAATATCTGTGTCTCTGTATCTCACTTTTGTCATCAAATCTATCAATGACTGTGAAGGGTCTGACGTTTTACTTTGCAAGATAACACGTTATCTAGCCACAGTTTCATGGATGCTGGCAGAAGTCATGAGATTTCCAAATGAGAGACAAAGAACTTTATTATTTATGGTGTAGTGGGCAATATGAGCATCATGTTTGCATTCTTGGCCCCTTGTCCCTTCTCCAAGTCCTGCGTGGCCAATGCAGAGGTGGATTGAGGTGAATACCGCATACACAGTGGGATTGTATGACAGGTCAGAAACACTGAGACTAGAAAAATCTCAGCTTTTGGAAGAGGCCACTAGCAAATTCTTCTAAGCTTCACCCACTAAGGGGGCATTATTTTATAATACTTTTCAGCAAACAAATTTGCTTTTTGCACTATCTTCTAAAGTTGTTTGCAATACTAACATCCTTGAAAAAGTGACAGAACAAAAGCTATTATTTCTTTACTCAAAAGATGTATAGAAACTGGAAAGACCCATAGAGAATTGTCTCTCATAAGTACACCCTGTATCATTAATCACCAGACTTGTAGTATCAGAGAGTTCTTAAATTCTTCAAACTATGACTTAAAAACCAATGTTTTCACATATTTCTTTCCCTATGTCTTTTTAGTGACATTGTATTTATTTTTGCCCACTGAATATTCTTTGGATGACTGTTACACCATTTACTCTCTTTATAATTCTTTCTACCTCCATACATTGCCTGTCACTTTATGAGACATTTATAAATTGAGGGTAATAGACCAGTGTTTATTTTTCTCATGTGAGTTCTGGCTCTGATCACAGTCATTTTTCTCTAATAGTTTGTAATTGACCTGACTGTCTCTAACTTATTTTTTTAATCCTTCTCTTTGACTCTAAGTTATTGACTTTCATTGGATTATTGGCCTACATTTTCAGTGTTTTATTCTTTGGTTAGTATTACTATATTTTCTTTACTCTTTAGTACCCTTAGCACTTCTAGAATAACTGCCTTCTCTGGTAGAAACAGATTTTTATCAGCCATAGGAGACAAAATTAGAGCTATGTTTCCTAATATTGTTTCCCCCTCTTTTTTCCCTGTAGTAAACAAGTGAGTCTGATACACTTTGTTGCCCTTTATACTTGTGAACTAGCCTCTCAAGGAGCCCAAATCAGAAATCTTGCTTTTAAATGAAATACTATGTATGTGGGGGTAAATATAGTATTTGAGGTTATGGATTCTGGAGCCTGACTGCCTGGGTTTGTAAATAAGTATTTACAGCTAAATAAGTATTTAGCTGTAGCCTTGGGTGAATTACTTAACTTCTCCCTGTCTTAATTTGCCCATATATAAAGTAGTGTTTTTAAAGGGAATAGATATATTGATATTCGTGACCTATAACCTACTATGTACTAAATAATTGATCATTTAACAATAATTAATAAAGTACAAAATAAATACCAATATATTACTTTATATATCACTTTCTAAATGATTTTTTATACTGATTCAGCTTTTTTTCCACTTTTTCTCTTTTACCCTTTAAATAATTATTTTCTTACCCATAGTTCTACACTCCTGGACTGTTAGTATATTGACAGGGGTACATTAGGAGAATAACACATTGAAGAAAGCGTCTGTGATTACCAAAGGCCTTAGACAGGATAACAGGGGAGGTGATTATTTACAGTTACATCTGTAGGGGAAAGGCAGATTCTTGATCTGAGGCTCTTAACAAAGATTTGTTTTCCCAAAAAAAATTAATAGGCGCCATACATACATATATATATATATATCAATGTATGTGCCTGGCATTCTGATGTTCATTACAAGTTTGTTTTAGAAATAATTTCAAGTGACTCTCTTCCCAAAATGTCAAAACCACTGGGTTGGGACAGTGAAAAAATAAGTTAAAGGTTGTATGGACTATGATACGGGAAAAATAAGCAATTGAATATTTTCATTCTATTTATAAGTACATTAAGGGCATATGTGAGAGAGAGAGAGAGAGAGAGAGAGAGAGAGATGGGGAGAGTTACACAAAGAAAGGAAGAGAGGGAAAAGAGAAAGAGAAAAGAGAGTGAGAAAAAGGAGGGAGGGAGAGGGGATGGATTTATATAAATTGAAAACCCTAATGCTAGTTAGTAAGGTGTTATGCCTCATTTGGTCAAATGTATTGATCATAATTCTTTCATTGATGCTTTCATTTATTCCCTAGAATGCTATCTAAAACTGTTGAATTGAGGAATGGAGAAGTTTGTTCTGGAAACAAATGGTTATAGAATTTTTTTGTTTACTTTCTAAAGATATTTTGTACGTTTTTGGTTGTAATTCATGGTGTGAATCAAAAATGAGGTAAATAGTTCCATAAAAAGTTAAGCATATCCCTTCAGTACTTTTTGCTAAGTGAATAATGCTTCAAATGTGTAGTTCCTTTTAAGGGGATATATATTGCTATTTTACAATATGTGCTGAGTCAAGTATGAGAATAGCACCAAATTCCAACAGTATTCTCTTCTGAAATCCCAGAGCATTTTTTCAACATATTATGATTCATCTCATTCTCCCTTCTTTGACAATTGCTAATGTGTATGTCCCATATCCACCTATGTTCTATAAGCCTCTTGAAGACTTGTTTCATGTCTACTTCATCTTGGAAACCACTGCCAATAGCTGTCATAATATCTTTTATTATTATTATACTTTAAGTTCTGGGATACAGGTGCAGAATCTGCAGGTTTGTTACATAGGTATAAACGTGCCATGGTGGTCTGCTGCACCCATCAACCCGTCATCTACATTAGATATTTCTCCTAATGCTATCCCTCCCCGTAGCACCCTAACCCTCAACAGGCCCTGGTGTGTGATGTTCCCCTCCCTGTGTCCATGTGTTCTCATTGTTCAACTCCCACTTATGAGTGAGAACATGCGGTGTTTGGTTTTCTGTTCCTGTGTCAGTTTGCTGAGAGTGATGGTTTCCAGCTTCATCTATGTCGCCACGAAGGACATGACCTCATTATTTTTTATGGCTGCATAGTATTCCATGATTTATATGTGCCACATTTTCTTCATCCAGTCTATGATTGATGGGCACTTGGGTTGGTTCCAAGTCTTTGCTATTCTGAACAGCAATAAACATACATGTCATAATATCTTTTATACTAGGTACTCAGAAAGTATACGTGAAATGAAAAGCATAAAAGAATATATATAGTGGTAAAAGGTTAGTACCAGGTAAACCAAGTTGTAATGATCAAAGAGGCCTCTATGTAAAGGTCAAATATAAATGTCATAAAAAATGACTTATTTTATTGAATTATTTTTATGAGAACTTGAAACATATAGCAACTAAATATAGCAAGCTATTTTACTAAATATAGTAAGCTATTTTACTAAATATAAAAAATATAGTAATTAAATATAAGTAAGCTATTTTTATAGAATACGCAAATCAAAATTTTCCTGTTTTTAAATAAACCAGGAATACTTGTTTTCCTTTCCAAATCACAAATTAATGAATAATTTATTTTAATAAGATAGACTTTATAAGATAGTTCTCTTTTACTCTACCCCAAATACTGGCACTGTCGGGTAGAAAATAATTTTCTTATGACATATAGCAAGTCAAACTGCTTGTAGAATTATTAATGTTTCCCTCTTTTTGTTGTAACTTAAAATAGTTTGCCTTGGACACTTAAGAGCCTGCCTGGTGACAGTACTTCCAGTCTGTTTTTCTTTTCTTTTTTTTTTTTTTTTTAGTGAAGAAAGAGTTATCACAAAGTTAATAGCCAAGAAGCACTTCAAAGCCCTGGCACAATTGCCCAATATATGAACTAATATTCTAATAGTGCTTTCTCATCAATTACATTTAAACACAAATTCCTTGCCTATCATTGAGAAAATGTGTTCCTTTTAAAATATGACTTAATAGCTAGTTTTTTAAAAATAGGGTTATAATTTTAAGCCAGGAAGCAAATATTTAACATTCTTGCCTAGACTATTCTATTTACATTTCATCAAATGTAACACTAATACTACATTTTGACCTGCTTAGTAAAAGTAAAGCCACAATTTCTGATGAAGAACATATCTGAAATAGTTAAACCATTTTCACAAAGGATCTACATATTTCAGAGTTAAATTTCATTTGAAAAATCCGCTTATAGGTGTATTGACTCTCCAAGAACAACAGTAAAATCTGAAAGTCCTGAACTAATTTGCAATCTTGAAGCTATACAAAATTTTAGTTGAAATAAGCCAATAAGATCAAAATGTTAATTATTAAAGGGCCATATTTATATGGGAATATTACATACCTTCTTCTTCAATAATCAAAGCTAAAAATGGGAGTCTCTGGAAAACTAAAGCAGAACATGATTCAGATACTGTAAGTCAAAAGCCAGATAAATACTTCTGGCCCTTGTAGAAAGAAATCATTGCTTTAAAAATCAAGGACAAAGAGATAAGCTTAAATAGAAGCCAAAAATAATGATATTCCATGAATAATGGCTCCTGTGATGAAACCTGAGACGCCAAGGGCAAGAATTCTTTTGAAGTCTCAGTTTTCTCATAGTCGTACCGCTTAACATAATGCAAATCCTGTGGGATAACCTAACTTATAACATATCTAAGTGGATCGAAAACTGGATTCATCTTCACAAAATAGAAAATTAAAATAAAATATCCTACATAGTATTTGGTTGCCTGTGGAGTTCTACATAATACTGAAATTTAATCTCAAACCAAACATGCAGATGAAGAACAGGAAAGGTGGAATTTTTAAATATTAGGAAATAGTTATCATCTAATATATTCTGTTATGATTAATTTCTGTAATAATCTTTTGAGGAATATAAGCACTTATAAAAGTTATGATCTAGTGTGATAAATATGGTCCTAAACTAAAATGTTATATTAACTATTTTTATAGACACTACGAATAAAATAAACACTCATATTTATTAACATAGTATTTTCAAAAATTACATAGTTTTTACTCCCCTGATATATAGATTGGTGGTAAAAACAGTATATCTAATCATATTTTTCTGATGTTTGTTAAATTTTTTATTCTACTAAATTTTCTGCAATTCCCAAGAGCAAATGCTAAAGAGAAAGTGTTAATTAGGTAGGAAGTAAAAAAAAAATCATCTGGCTTATTAAGCAAGTGAACATCACAAGGGATTGAAGGTAGCTAACAAAAAGCTTTTGTCTTTGTAATTCTGGCTGTGGAGGGGAAACCAGTGCAAGTACTCTAAGATATCAGATGCAAGCAATTTGGGGAAATAAATCTGATAACTTTTATTTGGATTGTCATAAATTAGACATAGAGAAGACACTCTCCCCATAGCATTTAAAGATGCAAAAGAACAAAGACTTTAGAAGTTTTGGCAATTAATATTCTGATACAGAAATTGTGATGATGCAGATGAGATAATTTAATGAGGACTTTAAAATTTTAGAAAAACTTTAAATAAACCACGATTACAGGAAACAATGACTAGGAAATCATGATTCATTATGAGAACATCCCATATTCCAGCCTTCACTAATTTTGACTAATTTTGATCACAGGAAAAAAAATCACTTAAAAATCGATTTAAATATTACTTCCCTGCCATTCTTTCTTAAGTTTTCCTTAAAGAAATTTGATACCTTTCAGGAACACTCACCGGAAAGCAGCCACATATTGAATGCTTTTTTGGCAGAGAAAAAATCAAAAGTATTAGCCCTTAGTACTTGCTGTGGCAAACTCAGAATTGACATTACCACATAACACAATTACCAAAAGAGGTCATTTGTCTGTTCCAATAACTCCTACATAGCTAACACAACATATATGTGGTGAGGAACTGGAAGCAGCTGTGTAACAAACTCTGGATGAAAAGATAGAAGATAGTTACTTGGTAACTGAAGTGTAGATCTCATAAAAATTTTAACAAGATTCATCATAGTAAATGTTTATGTAGAATGTCATTTTATAGAGTTTCCTTTCTACTCTATTTTTATATTGTTGGTCAGATCAATAATTCCTTCATTTATTCATTTATGTTTATTCAAATCATATTTATGGAATGCCAGTGAGGTACCGTGTAATGGCTGCCGTGCATCACTCAATTTTTCACAACAAAAATTATGCTTTCAGGCATCTCAAAAATAAGTTGATAAATAAAAAGTAAATATTAAAATCATTTCATCCCTTTTTGTATTCATGGGTAGTAACTGTATAGAATCTTTTTATTTTTACATATACTAATAGTATTAATATTTATTTAATTATGAATTTGGGGTAAAATGCATGCCGATTTAAAGCTGCACTTTTTTTCTCATATTAAGTTTCTGACTCTTGAGTATGTCATGGGAAGCTATTCTACTTGGCATCTGTCAAGCAAGTGATATCTATTGCCTATCACCAGGAGTAGAGGCCCAAACACCTCTTCTCACTGCATCTTGGTAATGGAGTCCTCAAGGAAAACATAATTCAGTCAAGCACTGGAATGAACAAAGCTTTACACACATAGAGAAAAAACAGAGCAAGATCAGCTTTAGTAGTGGGTGTCAGTCCTCCATGGCCAGAGGGCCTCTCCCAGTAGCTGACTCAAGGCCATTGGCCTGCACACATCCCTCTTCTGCTGAAAAACAAAAGACCAAATCTCCACCCCTTCCTCACAGGGGACAAATACAGCAGTGGTGTTGGCTAGGTGCCATATGACACAAAGCAAGTCCAGCACAGACTGTATCTCTTAGTAAGGAAGAATCAAAGCCCAAAGCCCATTCTTTTATTATTATTATTATTATTATTATTATTATTATTATTATACTTTAAGTTCTGGGATACATGTGCAGAACGTGCAGGTGTGTTACATAGGTATACACATGCATGGTGGTTTGCTGCATCCATCAACCTGTCATCTACATTAGATATTTCTCCTAATGCTGTCCCTCCCCCAGCCCCCCACCCCACCACCGGCCTCGGTGTGTGATGTTCCCCTCCCTGTGTCCATGTGTTCTCATTGTTCAACTCCCACTTATGTGCAGTGTTTGCTTTTCTGTTCCTGCGTTAGTCTGTTGATAATGAGGTGATTAAAGACTTAAACGTAAGACCTGAAACCATAAAATCCCTAGAAGAAAACCTAGGCAATACCATTCAGGACATAGGCATGGACCAAAGCTCATTCTTACGTAGTTGGGTGGGGGTCTGAAGCCTCCATGTACAAGTCTACCTTTCCTAACAGCATCACTCCCTATTATTTCATGTTGTTATCATAAGAGCCTCTCTGATCTCGCACTAACATGGTGGCCTCATGTTTTCCTCCATTCTTAAATTATTTTTCCTTGGGCACTGGACATTTTTTTTTAGATTACCTGTACTGTCCTTCTGTATTTTAATGAGGTCTAGGTATGATATCACTCAGCTTTCTTGCATTTTTCTAGAGTAATTACTTGGAAATGCTGCCATTTTGAGATTATATCCCTATTTGCACCTATATTTTTATAGAAGGAATTATCATCTGCCCGTTCTAGCACAAATTCTTAATTGATACTTTCCCCCATGGAAAGACTTTGTTCCAGCTAAGTAGTTCACCTTGTTGTGCCCAAAGATACCATGGATTTTTCTACTCCTGTATTTTTAATAAAGGTATCAGAGCTGCCTGAAATAATCTTTGTATATAGCTACATAAATGATTAAAGTTCCATAACTCCTAAGTCATGGAGCTTTCCCCTTAATAGCATAAATTTACTTCTGCTGCTTCTTTAGAATTTTCAACATAGTTATTTGTCTCCTGATAAACCTGTCTGGTAGGTTTGTTGCTGTCTCTATGGCTTTGGTTCTTGCTGGACTAAGAATTCTTTCAGGTCAGTCATTTTTAATTATTTTTTGAATCTTAATGTCTAGCTCAGCACTAGACTCACAAAGGCTACAACCTCCTAAAAATATCATGGTGTATTAAATTAGCTGCATTTATTTATCAATTTTTTTCTTGTTGATATCCTTTAGAAATAAATAGAATGTAATAAATAGAATGTTTTTACGTGGATATATGTTTACTCATTATGTTCCAACTTGGTTTAAATCCATTGCTTGTCTAGTACTCTCAAAGTCTTGGGAGAAGACTATGTATTACAGAAATGATGTGTCAGAAGGGCATCTTCATAAGAGGCCCTGGTGATATGAGAGAAGTGGTTGAAGATTTTGGAAGGAGAGCTGCATGAGCACAGGTATAATGACACATTATCAATTTGGCTTAAGTTTGGCTTTGCCTCATCATGAGGGATTTGGAATTTGGATGAAGCATGTGAAAAGCCTCCTCTTGCTCTGATTCTACTTAGCATCATTCTCTAGAATACATACAGCTTTGACTATTTTCCCTCATGCACACTGTTCATACATGTCTATGTGTCTAAATATTACTGACCTAACTGGGTTGTAATAATCTTGAAGATATCCTTTGGTTTTTTGATTTTTAAGGGATTATAAAGTAGTTTTTGTATATATTTCCAGTTTAATATTTTCTACAAAAGAGTGAAAGATTTTACCCCATATTTCTCCTATGCAAAAACTAAGTTCTTAGCATGGTGCCTGCCATATGGGTGGGTGTGCAGGTGGAAACAAGAGGAAGAAAACTTGAATTAAAATGAGAAATGTGTGGTTTCAGAGCTTGGACATTTAAGAGCTAGAGAATCTTGAGTAAATGCATTTCTCTATAAGTGTAGAAAAATAATAAATATGTGCCCTATACATTTTCCAGGTTTGTTATGAAGATCAAATGGGAGCATGGATGGGATGATTATATTAAGTTTCTATTGTGATTTTATTTAATTGAAACAATTAGCTGATGATTGTTCAAATTATTCTTCTTTAAAATATCTAAATTTCTATGCTTCCAGCTCACTTGTATGAATCTGTTTGAAGTTGAGCAATGCAACTTTCTATTTAGAGAAATTACCTTGGACTTTAAAAAATCTTAATGTAAACATGAATTTACTTTTTTACCACCTTTACCTACATACTTCCTTAAGATATTAAAACATATTACTTAGTAACTGATTAAATTTTTTTCCATTTATTTGGATTGAAAACTACATATCTGTTTGTATTACTCCATTTTCACACAGCTATAAAAAACTACCTGAGACTGGGTAATTTATGAAGAAAAGAGGTTTAATTGACTCACAGCTCTGCAGGCTATACAGGAAACATGGCTGGGAGGCTTCAGGAAACATACAATCATGGTGTAAGGGTGAAGGGGAAGCAAGCATGTCTTTACCATGGGAGAGAAAGAGAGAGAGAGAGAGTGATGGGGGAAGTGCTACACACTTTCAAACAACCAGATCTTTTGAGCACTCATTCAGTATCACAAGAACAGCAAGGTGAGAAATTCGGCCCCCATGATCCAATCAACTTCCCTCAGTTCCCTCCTTCAACAGTGGGGATTACAATTCAACATGAGATTTGGGTGAGGACACAGAGCCAAATCATATCACTATTGCAGTGGTTCTGAAATTTTTAGCATCCTTCAGAATCAGCTAGAGGGCTTTTAAAAGTGATTATAAGGCCCCTCCACGAATTTCTGATTCTGAAGTTTGGGGTAAGGCTCAAGAATTTTAATTTTAGCAAGTTGCCAGAAATGTGGTAATTTGTGCTGGTATGAGATCACATTTGAGAATAATCAGTCTGTAGTAGTCTCCCTATAATTAACTTCTCTGAGTTTAATTTCTCATCCTTTTAATCTATACTCTCCGTATCTCTATCCTATCTTTAAAAATTGTCCTTTCCTTAAATTGTTTTACATGGCTATATTTTACCCTCTTACATGAAATTTGAAACCATGCTAAAACTATGATGCAACAAAACAATAGAAACTCATGAAAAGATTGGCCTTGTCTTCATTTTCGTAAATCAAAAAAATGAGCTACTAGCTTTTCTCTGTTGTCACACACCCAAATTCAGATGCAACCTCAAAGTTACAGGCCATTTGTCAGGACCTGATTTTGCTTTCAAGAAGTGATAATATAATTGGGCACCAATACCTATGTTTGGCATGAGAAGTAATAGCTATGCTACTGCAGAGTGAGTCAATTGGATGGATTATATGTTAGGGATAGTGTGAACCATAGTAGAGGTGAGTTTGAAGATAATCGGAAGAAAGAGAGTTGGCCTGCTCAGCAACTGTGGCTTAAAGGTACACTTCTGATTTACTTTAAAGAGATGATTCCTGCTTTATTTCAAAATATAAAAAGGATACTAACATAAAACAAGAAGCAATTTGTAAGGATCACTAAATATAACATTAATTAGGACTCTGAACTTCAGAAGCGATTCTGAATAGACAGTTTATAATTAAGAAAGGGTACTTTTATCCAGAAGAACAGTTGGTTGCAAAACCAATAATGACCTAACAGGCGATTCATTAGTTGTTTTTGTTCTTATAAATTCAGAAAAAGGCATATTTCAATTTGGCTGTCAAAAAGAAATGCACAAGAAAAAGGCATGATTAGTGGTTAATTTAAAGTAACTGAAGTGTATTAGCCCTAGTCAAGTGAGCTTTTTAATTTTTTTTGCTGTCTTTAGCAATCACACAAGTATGAGTCATTTAAAAGCCAATCTGGTTGGTTCAATGCATGCTGTTTTATTGTGTTTTTTCTTTGCCAGTGTGCACATTTACCCGTAAATGGTTCACATCTGTTCTTTGTCATTTAGTGATTATGTGAAGGCCTCTGTGTCCTCCCCATTTATTTCAAACAGACAATGAGAAGCTTAATGTGCATGAGATTTAAGGAATAGTCTAGATTTTTGAGGTTCTTTGGTTACTTACAGACTCTCCCTACAAGTGGATATCAGATCTTTTAAAAATGCTAAACATTTGAAATATGTTCAAGTTATTTTCTGTGATCATTTAAAATTTAGGTTATATAATTTGATGGATGGTCCCTGATTTTTTTTCAAGCTATTGCCATTACTTGACCATTTTGCTTTCTAGCCAAAGATAGACCAGTTCATTGGAATAAGCATGTGTCTCAGTCCAGGACAGACCCTCTTTACATCTGTTTTCCTAATGGAAGTATTAATATTCTTTTTTTCATTCTGAAAATTGTACACAATTGGCTGACCAATTACATGTTTATTCTGGGTTATGAGGCATGACTGTTGAATAAGTAAGGCAAGGCATTAGATAATATGATCTCACATGCCTGTGGAAGAAGTCTTAATATAGGTGGCTGCTAACTTTAAATTTGTAGGTATCAAAGTAAAACTTTAGGAATTAATCTGTGGTTAAAAAACACAGGAATTATAGGATATTCTGTTGCATTTTAGATTATATTTTTAGTTAATGTATTTGTATAGTCTGGTGCATTTAATTTATTTAGTACGGTGCAAAATAAAATACTAGTTAATCTGTTCCATTGTCACTCTTGGATAAATGCTCTTGCACCACTGTGACCAAGGGTACTTTTTTGTTTTTATACTTATTAATAGCATCTAGTCTTGCCAACTGTAGGTACTCAATATACACTTTGTTGATTTCTATCTGGCTCATATATTCAGAGACCTGTGATAAATTTTAATTTTATTTGAGTTAGAGAGCCAGGTGCTTGATAGAGGTGAAATTACCCTTAAAAGTGTGCAGAAACTACTTACCTAGCATTATGAACAATTTTATGTTTTAGCTGAAATGCTGGATTTCCTACTGAGAACTCTAGGCAGTAAGAAGTCTCTGTGTCAATATCCTATACTTGCTTTAGTTGATAAGGTTACAGAGAGATTTGGTGCTGTGAGAAATATGAATAGAAACTGAAAAACTGAAACTGAGGATAAGAAAAGGAATTGACCTTCTGACTATGATCATGTTTCAATGTTCTTGCTGGGGTTTTTTTTTTTTTTTTTTTTTTTGGTCCCAAAAATGAGATCAGGACTATCCAAGCTGCATAATAAGTAATAAATGATTTTATAAAGACACTTTGGTTATTATAACCACCAAAAGAATAAAAAAATTGTCTGCTTTCTCAATTAATGATCTCAACACATATTCTTCTTACGCAACCTGTAGTTTTCTGCTTACATATAAAAAATACACTTGTATGGTTTCAGTAAAGCATTCAGTGAGCTACAGCTGATTCAAGTGTCAAAAGAGTGTCATTTTCTTAGGAGTTATTCGTAGCAATGGAAAAAGTACATTATACTTACTTAAAGGGCTTTCAGCCAATACTCATTAAGTCTTACTGTGTAGATATGGCATTATTCTTAGAACTACCAGTGTTATAGATATTATTAGCTGTCCATTTCACAAATTATAAATAATGGCAAGTAACTCTAAGATTTCAGACTGTGTACTTTAACAGACATAGACACATTTCAGTGACTCTAAGAGATAGTTGTTCTACAGATAGAGCAATCAAACTTAAATGCAGGCATATTTTAAGATCACCTAGAGTGTCAGAGTTTCTTAGGCTTCCAGAATAACTTTAAGTGATTTATAAGAAAATTCAGCTCAGGGGTCTTTATATGTGGTTATTTTTAATTTACAAAATAAACCCAGTTGAGAGGCTGTGTGTATATTTGTAGTGTATGCATTTATGCTCACATGCCTATGTTAGGGCAATGCTAAGAAAAATAATTATTTATAAACAATATAAAATGATGTTATGTGTACACTGAAAATTGGTTCCTTGCCATTGTTGATTACATGAAATCATTGACAAAAACTATGTCTATTCATAAAAATAAAATGGAGAGTGAGAGAGAATGAGAATAAATATCATTCTGTCTTTATTGCTTTAAGATTTAATCCCTAAGGTATTTTTGCACTATACTTAATAACATTATTATTGGACCATCCTATTATAAGTCATAATTGATAAATACAGCAAAAACTAAAGGATTAAGTAGTTTTAATATTTATCTGTCAAAAGAAAAGCGTGTGTGTAATGGGAGGCCAGAGATTTTTTACACTTAAATTACTCTTGAGAAATCCTGTATTTGGAAGAAATAAGTAGATAAACAGTGTTAAAAAATTAATTTAAAGGCTCAGATTGCTCCAATGTGTTGGGTTCCTAGGTAGGAAAACTAAAGTCTGAGGTAAATAGTAAAACAAAACTTAAGCTTAACCAATCAGAAACTGTCCACTTTTCTCTAACTAGGGACTTCCTGCTGGATCCAGCCCAAATAAGGCAAACACCTAGCTGTAGCCAATCAAATGTTTCCTTTGCTTCTGTGTTCAACCTATGAAAGCCTTCTGCTCATTATGTTAAAATAGAAATCTCTGAACCTCTTTTTTTTGTTTGTTTTTGTCTTTTGTTTGTTTTGTTTTGTTTTGTTTTCTTGAGAGAGGGTCTCACTATTTTGCCCAGGCTGAGGTACAGTGGCATGATCATGGCTCACTTCAGTCTTGACTTTCTGAGCCCAAGTTACCTTCCCACCTCAGCCTCCCAAGTAGCAGGGACTCCAGGCACGCAGCACCATGTCCAACTAACTTTTTTATTATGTGGCGAGGTGGGGCCTCCCTATGTTTCCTAGGCTGGTCTCAAACTCCTGGGCTCAAGAGATTCTCCTGCCTCAGCCCCACAAAGTTCTAGGATTACATGTGTGAGCCGAGGCATCTGGCCACTTCTTCCAGTTTGAGTGCTGCTTTATCATCAATTCTTTAATGCTCAAATTAACTCTGTTAAATTTATTTTGTTTAAAGATTTATTTTAACAGTGGAAACTATTCATGCATTTTTTTAAAGGTAAGACTATAAAAGCTCCAAATGAGAAAATATGGGAGAGGGAAGGAAGAAGAGGGGAAAACCTCACAAACCCTGAGTGATATGTGGAAGATGATGTAGACCTCACTTCCCCAGAATCCCGTAATCCCATAATCCCAGAGAATGGAGGGGTGAAAGGACATATAAAATGTTAAAAATAAACACCCTACCTCTAACTCTCCTATTAAATTTTCTATAGAACCAAGCAAGTGAAACACACACACACACACACACACGCAAACAAATGAAACACACACACATGCAAACACCCATTAAAAACAATAACTGAACACTTTTGAGAAAATAGATACATTTTAGAAATTTTTTAAGTGCCAAATTCCGCATTTAGGCTTCTGCCAGGTAAAATCGAAACTAATTGAGTAGATGTCAGCTGCTACAGTACTTCTGAGCTACATAGGTAAAAAGATTGCTATATAAACCTTATTAAATCAATATTATTGCTAAGGATTATTTTGTCAGAACTTAGTGAACATTCTACATTAATTGTCTATGCATCCTAAAAATGGTTTGTTAACTTCTGTCGAAGTATTTTCTTTCAGCCTACTATAGTTAGCTTATAAGAGTGTTACAATTTATTGAAGTTTGCTATGAAAAATCTCTCAGGTACCTATCAGATATCTGAGGGTTGTAAACACATTATAATTTCTCTCATAATCTAGAGAAGTAAAAAAGAAACATTTTATTATCCAGGGTACATAGGAATGTTAATAGTTTCATTATGGATTCAAATTTATTATTGTTTGGGAACAACTGTTTATAATATTTATAATTTTCTACAAATAAATATAAAAATAAGTCAGCAGAATTGCTTATGTTTTACTTTATTGGTCTTATTCATAAAGTTATCACTCTATTATAAAAAACAAAGCAGGAATCAAACAAACCAAAGCAACCAACTAAACAAAATCTTATATCTACTTCCAGGAAAGATGGAAAAAGCCCACTTCACCCTACTATTGTCACTAATTTCAACTAAAATTTACGAAGAAAATGCATGCAGTCCGTATTTCAGTACTCTAAGAAGTAAGAGACAGTAGGCATGTTGGGTAAGAAACAAGTATTTAAAGTACAAATGATCTGATGATGAGTTTCTCCACCCCTTCCATATCTCCTAGCTTTGACTCTTGACAGGATAAATCCTAGAGCTATTCACTGGGTACAGACATGAGTAAGTAACTCCAGATGAAGCCTTCTCTTTCTAATCTAAGGAGTGGAAAGGGAACTACTGATAGGATACAATGGGAAGTATCTCATGAGTTTCTCATGAATCTATCATCTAGTGTATAAGTCTGTTTTCATGCTGCTGATAAAGATGTACTCAAGACTGGGCAATTTACAAAAGAAAGAGTTTGTTGGGCTTACAGTTCCACATGGCTGGGGAAGCCTCACAGTCATGGCGGAAGGTGAAAGGCATGTCTCAGATTGCGGCAAACAAGAGAAGAGAGCTTGTGCAGGGGAACTCCCCTTTTTAAAACCATATATCTCGTGGTACTCATTCTCTCTCATGAGAACAGCGCAGGAAAGACCCTCCCCCATAATGCAATCACCTCCCACTGGGTTCCTCCCATGACATGTAGGAATTGTGGGAGTTATAATTCAAGATGAGATTTGGGTGTGAACACACCCAAACCATATCAGCTAGGTTGCCATTATCTGAAAGATTAATGTGGGAAGATCATGCTCACTCACAAGGTTATTTGCAGAAAGCTCCAGCTCCTTGTTATAGAGCTGCTCATGACAAGACAAGTGCATTCCACAGAGTGAATGATCCAAGGGGAAAGGAGAAGGACAGTGTCCAACATAGAAACCACAGGGTCTTGTTATAACTTCACTTTAGAAATAACATACATCAAACCTGCTGCAAACTGCTGGTTAAACATATTGTTCCTACTGTGGGAAGGAACTAAACAATGAGTTAAGTCTGTCCCTGGGGTGCATGGTGGGCCATCTTCTATTCTGGCTAACACAACTTACAAAGAATTGAGGAAGTCTGACACATTTTCAAGGAAAAAGAAAATCAACAGATGTCAAACCTGAGAAGAAAAAAATGTTGAAATTACTGGACCATAACTTTAAAGGAATAACTATAATTATGCTCCAAGAAGACATGGCAAAACATGTTGAAACACATGGAAAGACAGAAAATCTTGGCAGACAAATAAGATAATTTTTTTAAAGAACCAATTGAAAAATTTATAATTGACAAAAAATTTATAATTGACAAAAAATTGTATATTTTGTATTGTATTCTATTTTTAATTTATTAAAAATACAGGGCTCAATAGCAGAAGGGAGACAAAAGAGGGCAGAATGTGTGAACTTGAAAATACATCAATAGAAATCTTTTAATCTATAGGACTAGGGAAAAACACTGCATGGAAATTTAGCACAACTTTAGGAATCTGTGAGGACAATATCAAAAGGTCTAACATTCATTCCATGACTATCTCAGAAAAGAAGGATAAATATTATGGAACAGAAAAAAATTGAAGACATGAGCCTGAAAACTTTCTAATTAGGCAAAAGACACAAAATAATATAGCCATGTGCCTCTGTGAAAACCAAACAAGGGAAATCCAAAGAAACATATGCCCATGGCATCACAATAAAACTGCTAAAGACCAGAGATATATAAATAAATGTTGTAAACATCCAGAAAAAAAATACATTATATACGAAAGAACAATGACTCAATGACTGTACATTTCTCAGAAGAAACCATGGAAACCAGAAGACATTTTTAAAGTGCTGACAGAAAAGAACTGTGAAGCCAGAATTCTATATCCACTAAAAAAGAATATGTAATGACTTAGATATGAGGAATAATGTATTAATCCGTTTTGCTTACTGCTATGAAGAACTGCCTGAGACTGGGTAATTTATAAAGGAAAGAGGTTTCATTGACTCACAGTTCAGCATGGCTGGGGAGGCCTCAGGAAACTTACAATCATGGCAGAAGGGGAAGGGGAAGGGGAAGCAAGGCCCTTTCTTCGCAAGGTGGCAGGAAGCAGTGCCAAGCGGAGTGGGGAGAGCCCCTTATAAAACCAATAGATTTCGTGAGAACTCACTCACTCACTATCATGAGAACAGCATGGGGGAAACCACCCCCATGTTTCAATTACCTCCACCTGATCTCTCCGTTGACATATGGGGATTATGAGGATTACAATTCAAGATGAGATTTGGATGGGGACAAAAACAGGCTGGGCACAGTGGCTCACGCTTATAATCCCAGCACTTTGGGAGGCTGAGGCGGGCTGATCACTTGAGGTCAGAGTTCCAGACCAACCTGGCTAACATAGTGAAATCTCGTGTCTACTAAAATATGAAAAAAGTTAGTGGGGTGTGGTGGTGCATGCCTGTAATACTGGCTACTTGGTAGGCTGATGCAGGAGAATCGCTTGAACTCAAGAGGCGGAGGTTGCAGTGAGCCGATATCGCGCCATTGCACTCCAGCCTGTGCAACAAGAGCGAAATTCCGTCCCCCCACATCCCAACCAAAAAAAGAAAAAAGAAAAGCCGAAACGTATCAAATAAGTTCAAGGGATTCATTGTACAGCCTGGTAACTATAGCTAATGATGATATATTGTGTTACTAGAAAATGTAAAGATAGTGGGTCAGTGTTCTTACTGTACATAACTGTCAATTTCTAATGAAGCTAAACAAAACATACACTTACCACATGATCTAACAACTACAATCTGGGGCATTTATTTCAAATAAAATAAAACTGATATTCACACATAAACTATATGTGACTATTGATAGTCACTTTATTTATAACAGTTAAAATTGGAAACAACCTCTATGTCTTTCAGTGTTTTACTGGTAAAACTGTGTTTAACTGAATATACATTTATTCATGCCATTAAATACTCCTCAACAGTGACATGGAAAGAGCTATTAAAAATTGATACATGTAAGAATGTACTGAATATTCATCGGTACATTGAAATGTGCAAGACCTCTTGGATAGGTCTCTAGGAAATTATGCTGAGTGAAAACGAAGTCTATCTCAAATGGTTACATAAGAAATGACTCCAGTTCTTTAACCCAAGCTTTCCAACCCACAGCCCATGGACTGCATGTGGTCCAGGACAGCTTTACAGCTTTGAATGTGGCCCAACCCAAATTTGTAAACTTTCTTAAAACATTATGAGAAATTTTATTTTATTTTATTAGCTCATCAGGTATCATTAGTGTATTTTATGTGTGGCCCAAGACAATTCTTCTTCCAGTGTGGCCCAGGGATGCCAAAAGATTGGACACACCTGTGATCTTCTTGAAATGACCAAATTATAGAGATAAAGAAGAATTCAGTGATTTCTATAGATTAGGAAGGGGAGCAAGGAAGTAGCTATGGCTGTTAAAGGACATCACGAGGAACTCTTTTGTATCTTGACTGTGGTGGTAATCACATGAATCTACACAAGAGAGAAAATCGCATAGACCTAAACATGCACACATGCATGTGCACACACACACACACACACGAGTGCATGTAAAAGTGATGAATTCTGATTAAGGCCAAAAATTATATCCATCAATTTCATGGTTGTGATACTGTACTATATTTACACAAGATATTACCATTAAGAGAAATTAGGTGGGAACACATTCAAATCAACTACAGTGTCATTTTCTCCAAGTTTGTCTAGATCACATTTAGAGGGGAGCTGATTAGTTCTCTTTAATAGCTGGCACAATCTTAAAAATCTGTCTCTTCCACTACACATCTTGAGGAAAGGTTGTTCTTTGTTTTTCCAGAGCTTAGCACTGTATTCCAAGAATCTAGCCTGGCATGGTATGAATGTGCCATAAATATTTCTGTAATGAATTCCTAAATAAAATAATGAAATTCTGCAAAATAAAAAAGTACCACGAGTAGTTTTTTAGGCTTATTGAGAGTTAGATAAAAATATTTTAAAGAGAAGTGCTTAATTTTATGGGTTGAAATCTCAGACATTTTTTTCTCTTTTATTAAGTAAGTTAGCCTATTTTTCCATCATGAAAGAAACATGACCAATGGAAAAATGGTCAATACTATGTCTTAAATAGCCACAGATGATATAAGCATCTAATTTCTATTAAGGTGAGCAGAAGAAATCACATGACTGTGCCGCTGTTTATATATTTCCAATGTAATTTCTCATCCAAGAAAGGAGATTTTCTCCACAAGCAGACTAGAGAAGGTCCATGGTAAACGTAATACATGAATTATTTAGCCCCCCTTCACTTCAAAGTGAATTATTTTATATGATCTTGGGTATTCATTTTAAGAATAATAAATGAAAACCTGTATTCTATATAACACTGTACATTTGTAATGAAATATCACAGCCTTTTGCTCCTATTGGTCTGATAGTAAGGCTTGAAAGATAAAAGATATAAATAAATGACAGTAAAAACTCCTTCACCTTCAATAATTCAAATTATGTCATATTTATGAAGTGAACTTCATTCCTATATTCTTTTATCTTCTATGCCATTTCATTTCCACAGACATTATTATTGGTCATATATTTGAGGCTATTTTCTATGATTAGCAACTATCAAATAATTCCTTTATCTCACTCAGGTTATTTTGAAACTTTTTAAATCAAATCAAAGCAGAGTAAACAATATGAGCTTGTACCTAATGAAAAATCATGTTAGAAAAAGCTTATCAAATTTCTAATCGTTTTACTTAGAATATTCAGTGTTATAGATTACAAGTTCGTTAGACTACAGAGGAGAATCATGGCTAGCTATGATTTGATTTTCCAGTATGTTTGACTATTTATACAATTAGTTTAATTTTATAAAAAGAAGATAATTAACAAGGGCACACCCAGTGAAATTTTAGAAAATAAAAAACATCACTGTAAATAGCACCACATAAAGAAACAAAGCATTTCTGAAGCACATACTTGGGCTGTATCTAATCTCATTTTATTCTACCACCACCACCACCAAGGATAACCACTGTTACAACTTCTAACACCTTAGAATAACCTATTTTTGAACTTTATATTAATGATATCATGCAATATATACTCTTTTGTGAGTGGCTTATTTTACTCAACACACTTTGGGGATTCATTCATGTTTTTGGTTGCAATTGTGGTCCATTCAGAAAATGCAGTTCGTTCGTGTTGCTATGTAGTATTCTCCTCTATGAATATACCATCATTTATTCATCAGTTTATTCTGAATACGTATTTGGGTTGTTTCCAGTTTGAGATATTTTGAAGTGATTCTATGAACATTCTCATGCTTATCTTTTCATGAGCTTAACTATGCATTTTTGTATGGTTTATAACAGATATAGAATTTCTAAGTAATGAGAAATGTGTAGGTTCATTATTGTTAAATGCTGTCAAAATGTTACCCAGAGTGATTGTACCAATCCATACTCTACCTCTGCTGTAAACAAGATCTAGTCATAGAATAGAATATCCATTCATTGTTTGAGCCTTGAGGTGAGTACATAGAGATATCCTATTGTAGTTTTAATTTGCATTGCTATGATAATGAATCAAGTTCAGCCCCATTATATATGTGTATTATCCATTTGGGTATTCTCTTTTATGAATTGCAGGCTCAAATTCCCCAATTCTCTATTGCATTACCTGCCTTTGTTGTTTTGTTGTTGTTACATATGTTTCCTAGATATACAATTTTTTTCCTCCCATTCTGTGGCTTGTCATTGTACTTACTGTCTTAATGGTCTCTTAATTATGTTAAGTACAATTAATTGATTTTTCTCCTTGTTGGCATGTTGTGTGTTCTAATAAACCCTTGATTATCCTAAGGTCATGAAGATAGCCTCTTATTATTTTTTAACATCTTATCATATATACACACACAATTCATGTATTTTATCATATACACACAATTTTTATATTTTAAATTGACAAATGTAAATTATATATATTTATGGTGTACAAGGGGATGTTTTGATGAATAAATACATTTTGGAATGACATATTCATCACTTCACATTCTTAGCAGTTTTTGTGGTGAGAACATTTAAAAGCTCCATTGAAAGTTTCAAGTAAACAATATATTGTTATCAACTGTAGTTACTATTGATAGATCTCTAGAACTTGTTCTTCCTAACTGAAATTTTTGTAACCTTTAACCAATGTGTCTTCATTCCTTTCCTATATTCCCAGCCCCGGTAATCACCTTTCTACTCTCTGCTTAAATGAATTAGACTTTTTTAGATTCTACATTTAAGTGAAGTCCTGAGCTATTTGTCTTTGTGTGCCTGGCTTATTTCACTTAGCATAAAACCCTACAAGTTCATCTAGATTGTCACCAATGACAGAATCTCCTTCTTTTCAAAAGCTGAATAGTATTTCATTGTTTATATATATATATGTGTGTGTGTGTGTGTGTGTGTGTATATATATATATATATATATATATATACACCACATTTTCTTTATTTGTTCATCTATTGATAGGGAGTTTGGTTGAATATATATCTTGGTGATTGTGAATAATGCTGAATAAACATGGGAATACAGACATCTATGACATACTGATTTCATTTCCTTTAAATTTATTCCCAGTTGTGGGATTTCTGGTTCATGTGGCTGTTCAATTTTCATTTTTTTAAGGAAATGCCATACTGTCATATTGGCTATACTAATTTACATATCCACCAATAGTGTACATGAATTGCCATTTTTCCACATCCTCACCACTATGCTTGCTTTGGCAGCACATATAAAAATTGTTATAATTTTCAAAAACATAACTGTCTTAAGAATTTCAGCTAAATTTTCATTAAAGGATGGCATGAAGAGAAGATAAATATGGAGCATAATTATAGCACATTTTAAAATTTATACAAACTCAAATATGTAATGGATATATTGACTATTCACAAGGGGATTTTAGTATACTTGTGCCATTTAAAAAAAAAACTAATTTATTTTACTTTTTTTTTTGAAACACAGTCTCACTCTGTCACCCAGGCTGGGGTGCAGTGGTGCCACCCTAACTCACAGCAGCTTAGATTTTTGGGCATAAGCAATCCTCCCACTTCAGCCTCCCAAGGAGCTAGGACTCCAGGCATGTGCCACTATGCCTAGTTATATTTTTATAAATTATTGTTTTTAGAGAAGGAGTCTCACTATGTTGCTCAGGCTGGTCTTGAAGTCCTGGCCTCGAAAGATCTTCCCATTTCAGCCTCTTAAAGCGCTGGGACTACAGGCCTGAGCCATCATGCATGGTCCTTAAAATATTTTAAATAATTATATGTTGTTTTCCTGACACTTATTTTTCCTAAAAATGACACAAAGTAAATTGGAACTATTACGAAAAGCAAACTAATAAGCAACTTTCATCTCTGGCAAAAATAAGCCTGTTTTGTTTCAACATTCAGAATGTAGTTGCGGTGTCAGTGGGTGGCAGTAACTGTTAACACATGTGCAAAGATTAGTCATTAAATTTCTTTAAACCAAAATTCCATCTACTGCAAAATGGGAATATTTATAATTTTATTAAAATTATCCAAGATAAGAGTTGGAATGTGAAAAGTAGATTGCTTTTACTTTAGGTGGCAACTATTATATTATTACAACAACTACACTCTGTGAGATATGCTGATATCCTCTTGAAATTCACTATAGTAGGACATGATTACATATAACTAAGTATTGTGAGTGTAATACCATCTGATACCAAAGACAAATTAGAAGAATCATTCATAGGAATGATAAATGGAAATGATTGGCATATTGTTTGCTGAAATAAGACTATCTGAAGGTCATTTTTATTCTTGGTTAATTATACATATAATTAACCTTACATAACTAACATTTCTACCATCCTTGCTAATAGAGAATCATGCAAATCATTCAAATCATGCCTGAATCAAATAATGCAAATTATTCAAATCATACAAAATGTTTCCTCTAAATTTCACTGTTTTGCATTATCATCCTCAAGGTACCCTTTAAGGAGTGAAAGAAGTGTTCAGTTTACAGATATATTCCTTGTATGCGTAACTTATAATTTACAGGGCCAATGCCAATGATTGTTAATAAACCCAGTACTGGATTTGAGAGCTCTTCACCCCCACTTCAAAGCATTAAAATAGCTTTTACTCTTGTGTTGGGCTGCTTTATGCTAATATTCTTCTCAGTCTCTGCAAATGGAAATCCACCCAATAAGAGTGATTTTCTTGGCACCAGGTGCTTGCTATCTCTGTTGGTTTATAAATGATATGTTTAGGATCTAAATGATTATCATATAATTCATTTTATTTATCTTTGGGAAACACTGAAATGTATGGGGGCAGTAGAAACTAGAGATGTATTGAGTTTGAGCACTTTTTATTTAGGATTAACAAAGCTCAGACAAATACCACCAAAAGTATGTTTTCTTACAATCTCTATAGGCTGGCATATGCTTTATATTAATGTGTGACTGGTCAACCTGAGATAAGTCTTATTATAGATGAATATGTATATAGAATAAATTAATGCTACAATTTATTAGAAGTAGTTATGTGCTAGATACTACAAAGAGCATTTTATAGATACTGTCTAATTCAATCTTTCCCAAAAATCTCTAAAGGAAGGTACTACTATCCCTGACACTTAAAAAACATTGAGTATAATAAGATAATTAATAAATAAAACCAGATGACATAGCTAACTGATGGTAGAATCGGAATTGACCCTCACAGTCCACTCCTCACTTCCTTCTATTGAAAGTTTCTACCTTAGAGATTTAATTCTGTGTAGTATTCTTTGTTGCACACTAAAAAAGTGCAGGGAAACACACAATTTAATTCTGTTAAAAAGTTTGGCCAATCTGTGTTTTATTCTAGAATCTTATTTTTTTTAATGCAGTGGTTTAAAAAATATTCTAAATACTTTTGTTGTATATTTATGTTTCATAGATAAGATTAAGGAAATAGATTTATTCATGTTTGAATTTTTCAATATAATTTCATTTTTCAAAAAGTATTAAGCTTTTGACTTGTTTACATCTTTTTCTGGTTAAACTGCCCAGCGATTTTTTATTTTTACACATTTGTACTTGTTGCTATGTACTCTTGCTCACAGAGCAAACTGTTCAAGTGATTTTCTCTACACATATTTTCTCTAATCTTTAACATATTGGTGTTACAGGGCACTATGTGTTTCCTCATTTTTAAATTGCCTGCAGAACTTTCCTTGAAGTTTCAGAATATGAAAAGTAGAGGTGTACCTTTAATCTACATACAAAGGGAATCATAGCAAAGGCCAAAAACTATAGCTAAATGCACTGCCTTGGAAGTAAACAGAACACTGAATACAATTTTGAGTCTTCTACTACAAATGATGTAATCTCGGAATGTTACTTATTTGTCTGTCTCAGCTTAATCATCTGAAAAATAAATATAGTCACACACATATCTTACAGGGTAATTATAACAACTAAATTGGTTAATAAATGAAAAGTATTTAGTATCATTCCAGATATCTAGTAAACAACGTCTGTTATTTTTATAATACACAATTTCATAGAGCTTAAATATTTTTAAAAATGAGTGATTGAATAAATGAACGAATCAATTCTGTGTTTCTTTTGTTCAGCATACCTTTGTTTTATAGATATTTAAATTTTTATCATCCCTCTGATTCAGGCTGATGAGATCAGAAAAAACAAAAACAAAAATAAAACTTACCAGGCCATGTTTTTTATGTCCATCCTATTACCAATATTAGCTCCTCAGTGGCAAGTCATAACCACTGTTTGAGGCAAAAATAGTGGAGGATCAAAGAGAACTGTAAACTATTATTCTCTTTTCTTTCATTTTTTCCTCTTCTCCTTTTTTTCTTTGTGTTCTTCCTTGCCACTCTCCTTTCTCCCATCTCTTATTCTTTCCCTCTCTCATTCTTTTCTTTCATCTTTCTTTTTTTATTTCTTTCCCTTTTATTAGTTTTCAATTTTTTTATAATACTAGGTGTTGAGAAATTAACAAAAAAAGGGCTGAACACAGGGCAGCAATTTGCAGTTAATAATGACTTCAAATTGTTGAACACTTAATTAGTTGTGTCGGAATTAGTAGAATGTAGTTGGAGCTACATATCCAGCATATACCTGGTTTATGAGAGATCAAGAACATTAAATATTTCAGAGTTACAAACAGAGAAGTTATTGTTAAATCTGTGATGTTCGATAAAGTAGCCAAGGGTGTGTAGGAAAATATGTCTTGGCATATTATTTGCTGACCTTACTCTGGAATAAAGCATGTTAATCCAGGTTAAGAATCACATGGAAAGTTTTATTTTTAAAATATATATTCTTGGATGTCACATCTAGATGTTATGATTAGTAGGTCAAAGTGGGTTGGAAACTATAATGTGTATAATTTAAATCTTTCACCAGTAATCAACATTTTTAAAAAGTTAAAGAAAACTTTTTAATGTGAATGGCACTATTAAGAGGAAACAAGCTACAAACTGAGAGAAAACGTTTGCAAGTCACATATTAACAAGAGAATTGTATACAAAAATATTAAGAACTCGAAACACTCGACAGTAACAAATAGAAACAAAGTAAAAATTCAGTTTTTTAAAAATTGGAAAAGACCTGGGACACTTAACCCAGGAAGATATAAATGTGTGAAATTAGCCCATGAAAATATGTGCGACAACATAAGTAATCAGGGAAATGCATTAAAACCATGTTGCGGCACCATCACATACTTATGAGAATATCACACACAATAAACAAAACTACAACACCAAATGCTGATGTGGATGTGGAGAAATGAGAATACTTGAATAATGCTGGTGGGACGCTGGAAAACACTCGATCACTTTCTTATAAAGTTAAATGTACTCTTTCTATGTGACCGAGCAATCCAATCTTCGGCATTTACTTTATCTAGAGAAATGAACACTGATTTTCACACAAAAATCTACATGCAAATGTTTGTAGCAGCTCTATTCAGAATCATCAAAAACTGAAAACAATTTAAATGTCCAGCAGTGGGGCAATGAGTAAGTAAAGTGTGATACCTCCATGCATTGGAATACTACCCAGAAATAAAAATGAATGGACTATTTATAAATATAACATCTTGGGTAAACCTCAAAGGCATTCTCCTAAATGAAATAAGACAGTCTTTAAAAAGTTAATTCCTTTCCAATTACATTTAAATGACATTATCAAAATGATAAAATTATTGGGAGGGAGAATATCCCAGTGGTTGCCAGAGTGTAAGGATGGGAGAAAGGTGTAACTACAAAGGGTAAGCCTGAGTGATTTTTTCCGTGATAGAATTGCTCTGTGTCTTGATTTTGGTGGTAGATTCACAATTCACAAATCAATACTTGTGTTAATATTTATAAAACTGTACATTCCGCAAAAATATTTTATTTTATGTTAATTTAAAAATTAAAATTAAACAAAATCACCAACCAAAAAGCTCTCTAGTTCTGAAGCACAGCCAGGATTTGAAAGCAGCCCTATTATGAATTGTCTGAATTTCACTGATGAATGTTAAGTCAGTAAGTCAGGAATATAGACTCAGGAATTTATATTTTTAACACATATTCTTATAAACTGTTTATGACTTATGTGAATAAAAGGATAATTATCTTATTGAAATCTACCTGGTAGTGTTGTAGAAGATGAATATTAGGAAAATGATTTGAGAAAATATGAGGTCGTCGGTAACCCAAACTTTTATACTTATCCTGTTGTATTGTTATTTATTAATTGACATCTCTGTTTCTCTATTGTACCCTGAGCTGCTTTAAGTCCGATTGTGCCCTATTTAATTCGGAATTCTCATTATTAAGCTCAATGTGTGACACAAACCAAACATTTTATATTTGACTCTCACTCCACATATATCAAATGATTGTTTTCAGGGATCAGAGTAATGGGGTGATAGAGGCAGAGGTTGGTTACAGGTATCCAAACTGATGGGAGGTCAAAATCTGGATATGATATCTAGTTTACTGTGAGATATAATTACCATTGTATGTCTCATTGTTTTACTTTACTCAGTGATATTTTGGAATAAACTATCACTATGTGGCTCCAACTCTATTCTTGGTTTCCCCAAAAATCAGACGAGGGCATAAGTTGTATTAGGAATCTCAGGCATCAGGAGTGAGGGTGAAGGGGTGTTGGGCAAGGAAATATGAAGATCAAATATAAAGAATCGTCTCTGAGCTATCAACTGCTGAATACAAGCAGTGTCCAAGAAGGTAAGACAAATAATGATGTTAGAACAAGATTTTTATAAGAGAGAAAGGAAATCATTTATCCACTCACTTTCACATTTTCATTGATCAAATATACAACCCACGGGACAGTACTCCTGCAATCGTAGATATTTAGGCACCAAGGAGGGTTTTGTACTGTTGTGTGCTTTATGATCATCAGAAGAGCCTTTGAGGTAGAAGTGCAAGGTATGTGATGTGTGATGAGGTTATGAAACAAGACTCAGTCAGGTTGCATCTGCCTGAACTTTATTAGAGTCCACACAGGACTCAGTGCTATAGCAACTGTTGGTATGATAAATATGTGAGGCCAAGCAGATCTAAAGTTGACAAAGAGATACTGTATACACTTGCCTGCTCTTTCACACACTGCCTTTAAGGTAGGAATATCAGTTTTATTTTTCTGTAAAATTTCTGTAAAATTTCTCTCAAATTTCTGGTCTAGAACCAGGATATTTTTTATTTAATAACCAACACTTGCTCTTTCCACTAACATTCTCCAGTTGACTTCAAATCCTAGCTCTGCCACTTTGTAGGTTGGTGCAAAAGTAATTGCGGTTTCAGACCATGAATTTTAAGTCATTATAACTAGGCTCAAACACATCTATATTAATCAAAATAAGAATCAATACAATCAACACATTTTTGCCAATGAGAAGTGAGTATGTTTATTCCTATAGTGTAAAAATCTGTGCTTTGGGATTTGACGACCTCTTGGGAAGCATTTTCTGCATTCTCCTGGTTGTGGAAGCGTTTTCCCTGCAAAAAGTTGTAGAGATGCTTGAAGAAGTGGTAGTCGGATGGTCAGACATCAGATGAATATGGTAGATGAGGCAAAACTTCATAACCCAATTAGTTCTACTTTTAAAGCATTGGTTGTGCAATGTGCAGTCGGGTGTTGTTATGGAGAATTGGGCCCTTTCTGTTGACCAATGCCAGCTGCAGGTGTTGCAGTTTTTGGTGCATCTCATAGATTTGCTGAGCATACTTTCAGATGTAATGGTTTTGCCTGGATTAAGAAAGCCGTAGTGGATCAGACCAGCAGCAGACCATCAAACAGTGACTATGACCTTTTTTTGGTGCAAGTTTGGCTTTGTGAAGTGCTTTGGAGCTTCTTCTCAGTCCAACCACTCAGCTGGTCATCACCGGTTGTCATATAAAATCCACTTTTTGGTACACATCATAGTCCAAAAGAGAAATGGAGCCTTACTTTTGCTTAAAATAAGAGGAGACAACACTTCAAAACGATGACTTTTTTGATTTTCGCTCAGCTCATGAGGCAACAACTTAGCGAGCTTTTTCACTTTTCTATTTGCTTCAAATTCTGAACAACCGTAGAATGGTTGGCATTGTGTTCTTTGGCAACTTCTCTTGTAGTTGTAAGAGGATCAGCTTCGATGATTGCTTTCAACTGCTCATTGTCAACTTCTGATGGCTGGCCACTATGTTCCTCATCTTTCAGCCTCTCATCTCCATTGCAAAACTTCTTGAACCACCACTGCACTGTAAAATTATTAGCAACTCCTGAGCCAAATGCATCGTTCATGTTTGAAGTTGTCTCTGCTGCTTTACAACCCGTTTTTGAACTCGAATAAGAAAATCACTCAAATTTGCTTTTTGTCTAACAAAATTTCCATAGTCTAAAATAAACATAAAATAAACAGCAAGTAATAAGCCATTAGCAAAAAAAGTGATAAACACATATTAAAGTGATGTATAATATAACCACATTTATTCAAAAATGTATTCCATTATCAAATGGTAAATTTCAACAATGCAAAAACTGCAATTATTTTTGCACCAACATTAGCTCTTTGAAGTTGAGTAATTAACATTTTCAGCTCCGATTTTCACTGATAAACAATAAAAAGATGAATATTTATGCAAAGGTTTAGGGAGAGAATGCACATAATTGATACATGCAAAGTATTTAGCACCACAAGTGGCACATAAGAGCCTCTCAAAATTTATTAGTATTATTGTACTTGTAATAATAGCAGTATTTGTAAAATAATAGGAATTTTGACAAGAGAGCAATGAGACTTAACATTCAGGAACACGCAGAGATGTTGAATCAAGGAAACTACTTAGGAGAAGATTAAATTACATATGAAAGCAACTTTAACATTATTTGAAAGGGAAAACATTAATTCCTTGAAAAGCAAACATTAGCACAGATTTGGGAGCAGTGTATGGTAGGATGGTCAGTATGAAAAGAACCAATATCAAGCGAAAGAATAAATGAGTTTCTCAGACAAAGAGATAAACAGTTGAATTCAGTGGAGAAAGCAAACAATGACAATAAAGAGACTTGAAGTGGCTTGGTTTGAATTTGAAACAAAAAGGGGATTATAAAGACTTAATTTTATCAGAGTGAAAAAGCGGATTACTGTTGAATCCCTAGAGAAGGCTTATTTATTATTGTTTTATGTTCCAGATTACTTGAGCAACAATGATATAATGGAAATTGCATAAAACACAGATTATGTCCCACTTATAAGGTTAGTAGGAATAGAATCGTGGATGAAAAAGCATCAATTTAGTACTGAATACAGTTGAAAAGTATGAGATAATACAACACTTATTTTTTTTCTTCCTCTGAAGCCAATTTCAAATAGAAAAATTGTCATTGAAAGGATGTATTCATGAGTCACGCATAAAGGGAGGAGAAGTGAATGAGAAGATATAAGATATTTTAAATTTGAAAGTAGTTTGGAAGAATGCAGAGACAGTATTAGGAGAAAACACAGTAAGAAAAGCCACTCTTTAGGTAGGTTTAAATTTGTCTAACACATGGCAGAAGAAGAAGAAGGAGAAGAAGAAGGAGGAGGAGGAGGAGGAGGCAGCAGCGGGGGGAGGGGAGGGGGAGGAGGGAGAGGGGGAGGAAGCAGGGAGAGAGGGAGGGGGAGGAGACAGGGGGAGGAGGAAGAGGAAGAGGAAGAGGAAGAAGAAGAAGAAATAATAAAACATGTGGACCACACGTACTTAAAAACATATGATTAAATCAGATATGTTATGATTTATTTTTAAACAATTGAGAAGAGCCAATTGGTAGAATCCAAACAGTTGTGTGAGAATTTCCCATGTTACTAAATACTGTGTAAAAAAACAAGAAAAGAAAAATAAAACATTCAGATAATTTTTCAACTTTAGAGCTGCACCAAAATTCTCAGAAAATTTTCCTATTTAGGTTTAATAACATGAAAAAAATTATCAGTGAAAATCCTTTGATTTGACACTTTCTAGTAAAAGTCAGCACCTGCTTGTTTTTTAAAACTCCATTTTCTATCTTCGATGAACAGAATGCTCAATTTGAACACTTGATGTCTAGAAGTGGAAATTCTAGAATGTCAGTACTGTTCTGTTTCTTCATCACTTCATTCTCCTTATTTCTAATATTTCTCTCCATAAAGTCATAATAATCTATTTATCTATCTTCCCTCTGCTCTGAATTATCTTTCCTCTCTTTTAGAAGAGGAGGTTAAGAAAAAAAGGATTTTGAAAATTAGTCATTATTCTAAAGTACCCATTCGCACTTTCCTACCTCCCTGGTGGCCTAGGAGGCTTCCTAGTACTCAGATCATTTAAATAATGATATGTATGTATGTTTGTGTGTGTATGTATGTGTGTGTGTGTGTGTGTATATATATATATATATATATATATATATATATATATATATGAGTTTATATATGGTATATATTCACCCCTACATATACACACCTGTGTGTGAATGCATTCATGATAAATTATTTCCTTGGAGATATTTATAGTTGTGTCAGAATCAATTCTGGAACCAATACTCTAAAACATTAAATGTCTGCTATATGGAAAAATGGTGAAAGGGATTGAGTGTTACTTCTGTAGAAAATTGAGAGGAAGTGGCTTAGAGCTGGGTGAAAGGATAGTAGAGTGAGTTGGATGGTACCAGATTATATATATCATGGAATGGATTATTATACCAAGTGTAGAAAGGAAGTAAAAAAAAGCTGATAACAATATAGTTATTGGAATCTCCCTCCATGAGTTAAACTCTTCAACTTATTTAATACTAAAATATTTGTAGATATCTTTATAGCTTGCATGCTCTCTCTCTAAGGCAAAAGTTCCAAAAGAGGGATTCAGCCAGATTATCTTTTCTGCCATGACTCTCTTTATCTTACAATAGGATAATGAAAATGAAAAATCTTTATAAATATTTTGCTTTAAGATTCTTTGAGCATTTGAACCTGCGTATTTACAGCAAATGTTCTATTAATGTACTATTTTCATAGTATCTTTTTTTTAGTTACCATTTGATCTCTCATTGAATTCATTTTCATTACACAATATGTTATGTGCTGTGAGAAGAGGTAATTTTTCAGAGCTAAAAAGCAAAATATCCAAAATCTATTGATGTATCCATGGTAACCATTATATCTTGAAAAAACAAGAGCACCAGGAAGCAGTCATTTTGTAACTGGCAAGAGAAAAATGGTCATTAAGATACAGGATGTGAATAGATGTCTGTCAATGTGACTAGAAAAATATTTTAATGAAAAAATACATGAAAACTATTCTTTTCTTGAGCCTGTTCATGATTGTTTAGCTATGAACATTGGTTCTGGAATTACTTTCAAACAGCCCAGTGCTTTTGAGAGTTGGCAGGGTCTTCTAGCACTGGTGATTAGGAAAGGTAGAGGACACTGGGACTTCACACCTCAACAGAAATAACAATCTAGCACAATATAAGTCTCTGGACACTGTCTTCCTGGTCCATGACTACAGAAGAAACATGGGAGACATAATAAATCCAGTAGAGAATGCATCATTCTCAATAGACCCAATAGTTCTCCTCACTTCCATTGTTGCCAGATTGATCAAGTCCATGCAATCTGTCACCTAGACTCCTGCCCAGTCATCTCTCTGGTAGCTTTGTTTCCATTCCTGCTCATGTCCACAATGTTTTGTTCTCCACAAGACAGACAGAATGATGCCATTAATAAGGAAATTACTCACCTCTTGCTTGGAAGTTTCCAATGGCTTTCTCTCTTATTTCATTGTATAATCCAAAATCCTTTAAAGGACTTCAAAGATGCAGCATGGAGGTAATCTGGCCCTTGATACCATTCTTTCCTTTCAGTTACACTGGGATTATTGTTCTTCCTTGACCCACAGTAAGAAAAACCCTGTCTCAGCACATTTGCACTATTCCCTCCACAGGGAATGTTTCATTTACAGACATCCTTAAAGTTTTTATTTTCCTTCTCTTCATTTAAGTCTCTACCAAGATAGTCTTCTTATATTTCACAGACAAGCTTAACTAATACAACTTTCTAAATTTTAGTATCTTTAATGTATTTCTTACTATAAAACACTATGTTTGTGTGTTTACTTATTTACTTCCCTTCCATATATGTGAGCAGGGGTTTGTTTTCTTCACAAAGCCAGGGGTTTGTTTGTTCATTACCAAATTCTTGTCTCCAGCAAGCATTAGGGCCTCGTTATTATTGTTATTATTGTTGGAATGAATGAAAGAAAGCACAGGAAAAAGGAATGGAATTTGTGTGTTATTTCAAACACACGTAACAGGACCAACACTCTCCAATATATTTTTCTTCAATGATGCAAATATTCTATATGTGTATTCATATAGTAGCCACTAGACAAAAGAGTCTATTCAACCTTTGAAATGTGGCTTGTGAAATTGAGGAATTATATTTTGTATTTTTTAAATTGAATTAAATTTAAATAGCTAAATGTCTATAATATTGGAAAGGGAAGCATGGGACAATGACAGAGGCAGATATATAACTAGGTCTTCTAGTACAGCATGTGGGCCCAAGTATTCCTTGTGTGATTAAAATTTTTAAAAATACTCATGGAAATTTTTGTATTATTTGTAATAATTGCCCTACATTATCAAAAATTCCAAGCAGACTTCAAAGACCTTGTTTTGACTTAGGCTTACAATTCAATTGTATGATATAAGAAATTATAATATTATAAATAAAAGGTTCAAGTTTTAGCTGATGAGAATCAAATAAAAATAAAAAGAAATATAACATTTTGATTTTCAAATTGCAAAACATGTATTAAACAATTATTTCTATAATGACTCCTGCCCAGGCAGCTCTCTAGTTGACCTGTGGGCACAGACTTAAATAATTTTGTTTAAAATATATAAAACAAAGACTTTGACCCTTCAATTTCATGTGTAGAAATTCACCAATGAAATAATCAGATTCAGGTTAAATGTGTTTTCAATGAAGCTATTATTTATAACAATGCAACCCTGGGAGCATTCTCAATGCCCTAGGGTAATTAATTTACATGAAATAGAAATGACTGCCTCCTATTGCTGAAGTACATGTGTAGAACTAAACCACTAATTTTTGTCCTAAAAAGAATTAAATATACAATGAAAAATAGTATGTATTTATTTGTGTGTGTATAATTTATGGTTGCTTAAGCCATTGATAATTAGTTTTATTGTACTTATTTATGTGTTTCAGGAGGCTTTAATGTTAATAACTATATTAGCTTAGGTTAATTATTTCTGTTTGAAGTAAAAACCAACAGTTCACTAGCTCTTGACTTCCTAAGGATTACCTCAGCATATTTTATAGCTTTGCATTTAAGTAAACTGCCTTCCCCTTTATGTAAAAAAACTTCCACTATACTCTTTTTCTTAAATTTTTTATTTATTTATTTTTTATTTGCCAGTCTCCCTCTATTTCCCAGGCTGGAGTGCAGTTGCACGATCTCATCTCACTACAACCTCCAGCTCCTAGGTTCAAGCAATCCTCCCAGCACAGCCTCCCAAGTAGCTGGGACTACAGGTATGTGCCACCACGCCTGGCTAATTTTTTTTATTTTTTGTAGAGATGGGGTTTTGCCATGTTGCCCAGTCTGGTCTTGAACTCCTGAGCCAAGTGATCCTCCCACCTCAGCCCCCCAAAGTGCTGGGATTACATGTGTGAGTCACCGCGCCCAACTCACTTTAATCTTTTTACCCTCCTAATTTATAGTAACCTGTACTGACTATATCTCTAATATCCCAACTTCTCCTGGATTCTCTGCTCTCAATCACTTGAACTTTCATCTCACAGGAACCGTGAGCAGCCAAGGTGGACCTACATCAGTCAAAATGCTCCTGTCTGCAAGAAATAATACTCTATTTAGACTATCTTAAACTAATATATTAACCTCTCATTGTAGAGCAAAAAAAAAAAAAAGTCCAAAGATAGGAATAACCTGGGCTTAGTTTAACGCATATTGCATGATTCCAAAATGCGTGGGGTAATTCGTTTGTTTGTTTTGCTTTTTGCATTCACTGCAAAGGTCCAGAGATTCAATGTTTTCAGTTTGAAAACATGCTCGACATTGGATCATTCAATGGAATTTATGTATCTAAAGGAGGTTTCATTCTATGATAAATTTTGCTGGATCCATATAAACCCCAAATTAAAATCAGAGTATATTATAAGAATTAAGGGAAAGCTGATCCTCCAAAGAAAATCAAGATCAATTATAAAGCTACATTCCTACTTCCATATTCCTGACCACATAGAATTTCTGATTGTAGGAGAAAGATTCAGACATAATTTTGGATAAAAAGAGTGTCTTCTTCATTGCAATGTGTACACATGCAACACTTCTATATTTGAGACCAACAGATTTGTTCATTTTTCTTTGATACTTTTTAAATATCTATAACTGTTTAGCTCTTTGATCAAGACTATTTGTTACCTCTTCCATATAAGTATTTATATGTTTTATTTGTGTGGGTTAGAAATGACAAATGAGCTATTGTGTAGTGTTACATGTGTCAAAAAATAGCAGGTTATTTGTTAGTTTAGCTAAGGTTTGTGAGTATGGCATCACAATTCTATTCTGCGTGTTGTTAGAGTTTTTTTTGAAATAGTCTTACATCTTATTTTATATACCATCCTTACTTACCAGTGTTTGTTCATAGGTTAATTATGGTGAGTAATCTAATGACTGTTAATATCCACAATAAACAGGGCAAACACCATTATAAACTATTTATCATATTACTGTTACTAATAACAAAACTAAATGTAATTTCTTTGACTTACATATATGTATAACTTGAAAAAAATCCTCTCAAAAATTTGGAAATTTATTCAGTAGAGTGTATAAGAATATTACAAATAATAAAACATCTTATGAAGGCAAAATAAGTTGTTATACAAAACATGAAGATCTTCAAAACAAGAGTAAAAAGTATCACACAACACAAGAAAATAGTAGTATCAGGGACAGTGTACCATTGCAAATAAAATGAGAATTGAAAAAATTTGATTTTTCTATCCTTGAGTTTTTAAACTACTGTAAATTTTAGCTGATGTTTTCAGCAATCATATAGGTCTGATTTATAGAGTACAGGACCGACAAGAGGGTGGAGGAATTGCCATAGTTCAACTCTGGCTTAGGGCTTTGAAGTGGTGCTATATAGTTATTCTCACAGTAAAGTGGTTCACCTTTCATTTTATACAACATGATGATGGATGGCACTTTGAGAGCCTTGAGGTGATATATAGCATCCTCAAACACTGAGATATACTCCTTGTTTTTAGACAGGAATGCACCAGTCATCACCATGAATGGGTATACTGGCTTTCGGTATATTTTAAATTATGTCATGGCTAGCAAATAGAATTTTCCTGAAAATGTTGATTAAAAGACAACTTTTTTAATCAAAAATAAGTATCAATATAACTATAATTCTGACCATATATATATATATAGAGAGAGAGAGAGAGACACACACACACACTTTTAGGACATAGTATATTTGAGAGATTTTAATACAAAGAAACAGAGAGATATAGAGATATAGTAAGAGACTTCTTAAATAATCTCTATTCTGAGATTTTTTTGCTTGACCTAGATCATGACCCAGAAAACATTTATGCAAAATCCTTCAAAAGGAAGATAAAGAGGGTCGATAAAATACTATTGTAATACGTAGCATTATGTTACTTACTGCTTTCTAAGTACAACTTTATAGTGTTATCCTCTCTGCTCTGGCAGACCCAGAGTGCAATCCTTGGACCTTTTTTCTTTAGTGCATATGAATTCCCTTGATTGTGTCTTTCAGTCACAGAACCGTAAATCCAATCCATACAGTAATTACTCCTAAATTTGTTTTTCAAGCGTGGACCTATTCCTTGAAGTCTATAATCAACTGCCTATTAGCCATCTCTGGTTGAATATCTCAAACATAATCTGACCCAAACTGAGCTTCTGATTATTTTTCCTCTAAAGCTGCTTCTGTCAAGTCTTTCCCACCTCAGTTTACAGCTATTCCCTCCTACTAGTTGCGTGGACCAACAGTCTCTTTTGGATAATCTTTGACTGTCTTCTTTTATTCCCACATCATGTAAAATCTGTTAGTGAAAAGTTTTGATTTTAACTTCAAAGTGTGTTTGACCCCTTCTCATTGTTCTGGTCCTAGTCACTGTCATCTCTGCTTTAAATTACTGCAATAAACTCCTAATTTATCTCTCTGCTTTCCCCTGAACCCCATGAATTTTATTCATAAAATAGTAGCTAGAATAGAAATCTCTTCAAACCAAAATCCAAATGTGTGTATCCTCAGATGGAAATTTTCTAACGGCTATCTATATAACTCTGATTAAAAGCCAAGATAATCACAATGATTTACAAAACATATACTCCTATCATTTCTTCCAGGCTCACCCCATTGCAGCCACAGTGGACTTCTTAATATTCCTTGAATATTGCCAAGCACACTTCCATCTGAATACATATATATTTCATCTCATTCTTCCTGTAAGGCTTTTCTGCCTGGTATCTCTATGACTTGTTTGCTCACTTCCTTAAATTGTGTATTCAAATACTACCTCTCCAATAAATATCTCCTCATTCACCCTACCTAAAATTATAACACCTCCTCTTTATCACCTATTATGCTTTATTTTTCTCTGCAACCTCCGCCAAATATCATTCAATATATTTAACATATTAAATGTGGTTATTTTAAAATTTACCATGTAAGCTTTTTGAAGGCATTGAGTTTTTTTCTGTTTTTCTAACTATTTTATTGACTGTGCATAGAACATGCCTGGCACGTAATATGTGTTCAATAGTTATTTGTTTCCTTGTTTGAATAAGTTAATAAAAGTTCAAACCATGTAAATCATTTACTTCCACCCTCAGCTAATACCAATTGATCAGAGTTGGATACAAGCTACACCACCAGTCAATACACATATTATTTAGTGACCCAAGACCTTAGGCATGTGATTTTTTTTTTTCAAGATGGGCTGAATCAATTAGAATCTCTTTTTCAGATATTTGAATTGTTAACTACAGGAATCTTGCCAGTTATATTGGGGGGGAAAAGGAAGATTATGATATAAATAAGGTAAGAAGAGGTGACATGTGAAAAGATAATAGATCAGAGAAAAAAGAAGCCTGAGTAAAGAGAGAAAGATATTTGGTAGAGGGCAGAGAATAGAACAGATGGAGAAAAGTACAAGGAGGTAAAGGCCATCTCTAATGATGTTACCATTTCAATTCCAGGTCATACCATCAATTAACTCTAGAATAAAAGTTGGTTTTTGTTTTTGATAGCATACATATATCTCTGTTTTTCACAATTGTAGACAGCATGCATTTCACTCTGACACAACTGAAAACATCTTTTAATTCCTTAGTTTGGTAAATTACCTGATTCTGCCTTCAAGAATTTCTCCTTTCAAGCTGGCTATAAACTCATATCTAGTCATTAAATGTTCTACTCACTCCCACCCAACTTGGCCTGCTAAAATTGTGCATAAGTCCAGGAAGATACTTTGTCAGGTCCTTTTGTTCAGAGACCCATATTGGTTTCTGTTGAAAAGCACTTTGTTGTGTCCTGCATGGTCCCTTATGCCTCTATGCATTTGGTTTTCCCATTCCAAATTTGGAGTATAGGAAATTTGGTTATGAGATCCATCATACTGCAAGGACTCAGGCTTCCTAGAAACAGCTCACAGCCCTTACACTCTCAGGTCCTTCTGGAGAACAGACAAAACTCAAGTCCCTGATGCTTATAAAACAAAATACCACCTTTTCTGTCTCTCTAGTCTCCAGAAATGTGCCCTCCTCAGCTTATTTCTTCTCAGAGGTACTTTTCATCTCCCTTAAAGAAGAGTCTGTGAGACACTGGGAGAATTTTGTTAAGGAGTCCATCATATTTTAAGACCAGGAGAGAGGCTGCTTCTAATTTTAGTCCTGCCAAAATCAGTGTGACAAGAAATTAAAAGCCTGGTTATCTATTTAAAACAACCACAGGCACAATGATTCACATCTGTAGTCCCAACTACTTTGGAGGCTGAAACAGGAGGATTGCTTGAGCCCAGGAGTTTGAGGCCAGCCTGGGAAACACAGCAAGACCCCACCTTTTAAAAAATTTAAAAACTAAAAAATAAATAAATAAATAATAAAAAGTAAAACAAACACAAATTAATATTACTATGCACAATTCTATGACCTAATATAATTTCTCCAATTTCTAGAATATTAGAAAAGACAGATAAAACAAATTATATAAACTACTTTTAAATTAAATGCTTTATAACATTGTATGTGCTTTAATATAATGTACAGTTTAATCATAAGATTCAAATAATGATTTCCCAATTGTATTAATCCTATAATTGATCTAAAGAAATTTGAAAAAATGGGTATAATCTTGTAGGTCATTCACAAAACAAAGGAAAAATAGAAACAATGCTACTAAAAAGAAATATTAAAAAAATTGATTCAGGGAAAATAAAATTTTATTTTTGCCATTAACAATATACATATTCAAATAAAATGAAAAGATTGATTTTCTTGGAAATATTAATTTTTTGACCTGGCTGATGTTAATATCTGTTCTACTAGTGCTCTAATCCTGTTCAAATCTAATTGATAATCCAAAACTTGATCAATTAAAAAAAAAGTTGTGTCCGGGAAGGGTGGCTCCTGCCTGTGATCCCAGCTCTTAGGCTGGCTGAGGTGGGCAGATCACAAGGTCAGATGGATACCATCCTGGGCAACATGGTGAAACCCCATCTCTACTAAAAAAAAAAAAAAAAAAAAAAAAAATATATATATATATATATATATATATATATATATATATATATATGCATATGTATGTATATACAAAAAAAATTAGCTGGGCGTGGTGGCGCATGCCTGTAGTCCCAGCTACTCGGGAGGCTGAGGCTAGAGAATCACTTGAACCCGGGAGCGGGTGGTTGGAGTAAGCCAAGATCGCGTCAGTGCACTCCAGTCAGGCGACAGGGAGAGACTCTGTCTCAAAAAAAAAAAAAAGGATGCTAATCTAGAATATGAGAAAAAATAATAGTGTCTACCTCATAAGATGGGTTTGGAAATTGATACAAAGTTGATACATGCAAAGCATTTAGAATAATTATTGATTAAATTGGCAATTACTGAATAAATACTTTTATTACTATCATTAGCTTAAAAATCAAATTCTTGTTAAATTCTCCCATTTTATAACATTCCAATTTGTCATTGAGTATGATAGTTACTTACTTTCAAAAATATTATAGGTAAAGACTTTTTTCATAAATGATATTATTTCTATTGCTTATGTGTTTTTAAAATTAATTTTACATAGGATAAATGTGTATATAGATGAATCTATTGTTGATAGGTACCGTAGGGAATTATAGTAGCCTTTAAATGTGAAAGAAAGGGCTTTTAAATATAATGTGTAAGAGCTTGATTTTGTACCAAGGGTATTATATCTTGACATGTATTATTTAAGCAATTAATCTCCACTATTTGGCTAATTAAATTTACTACTAAGAGCTTTGATGTGATTTAAAAAATTGAAGGTGAATGAAAAGCTTTAAAGGTCCTACCAGAGTGAAAAAGAAAACAAAATAAAAGAAAATGAGATTTCAAATTGTGTAAATTTTGGAATCCTGGGGTATTTTGACAAATTATAGTCTATAAGAATGTGAATCGTAAGATGTATTCTAAATGAATAAGTCACTGAGCTTATCAAATCAGCCTTTAATTATTAGGCACAATAAATCCATTAAATTTCTTTAATCTTGAGAAGTATAAATGTTTGTTACATAAAACTCATTTGGCTGAAATATTACAAAATCTCATAGATTCATTATCATACTTCATGCTATCATTAATAAAATATAAAATATTTTCACTCTTATTTTTATATTGAGAGAAAAGATTCTTGATTTTCTGATCTGCTTTAGTTATTTATTAAGTTAATAATATTATTTCTTGGAAAGAAGATTACTAAAAATAAGATATTTGTTGTACACGAATATATTATATTGCTGATTTCCATAATTAAAAAAATTCTCAAAGGCAGTAATCCATGCAGATACGTGAAGTTTTATGTGATTGTGGCATATTCCCTGAAACATAACAAATGCACACTGAGTAGTCTAGTATGAGATGATTAACTTCCCATCATAAGAAAACCATATACTTTATCATTTATACCAGGATAATTTTGGGTGTAGGAGATGCTGCAACAATCACTCCAGTGCTACAGGTATAAACCAACATTGTTCCATGTAAACCAGGTTATGTGCTCTTATGGTGACCATAATAAATGTAAAAATACCATATATAAGATATATGAAATGTAATATATGTATATATTACATTAGTATGTGTATGTATTTTATATATATACAATTATACAGATTATATTTTACATAAAGTATATTGGTACTATATATATGTATGTGTGTCTATACATGGGTGTCTATATGTATATTTTGTAGAATCTATACTTTTTTCTATTTAAATATTAACTTCTTAATACTAAATGGAAATTTAAAAATATACAATTCAATTAATGAGAGTTACTTTTGTATAATGCTCTACAGAATTGTGTAGATAAGATACGACAGTCTCTTTATCTTTCTCTTTCAAAAAACAACTATTTGTGGGTTTTTTTTTTCTTTGTTTAATGTTTCCAGGTAAGATTTCATTGGTGGAGCAAGCTCCCTCCTTAGTCAAAGTGGACTAAAGAAAACAATAAAGTTAGATTATACTTGGCTTAATACTGATTTCTCTTTATACACCTTTCCATGTACTCAAGTGTTTTTCATAAATTTTTATTTAAAATTAGACTCGAGTGGCCAATTATTAACTAAAAGCTGGTAAGATCCGATTTGCTATTTTATAGTCTGGACTGTCAATCAGTCCCTCTGTAAGATGGCTTCAAAACAGTTTATCATTTTATTTATAGAGTCCTGGGTGTGTTCTAATTTCTCAATGTTATTTTTCTTATGTGTCCTGAAACTATTTATAAAACTCTTGATGGGATCTAACCAATGCAGCATAGAAAAACCTTTTGTATCTGTTATGTATACATTGATTAATGCAACTAAAAATACACTGGCATTTTTGTATTTCCACTATGCTGTTAAAATGCATTGTTTTATTTCAATGGAACCCTTACATCTTGTTTATACATGTTCCATGTACAGAACCAGAATTCACTATCCTATATCCTCATTACTAGATCCTTGGTCCGACAGCAGGTTACTCCAAATGTCCTCATTGTAGTAAATTCTTTGTTGTTGTTGTTGTTGTTGTTGTTAATTGTTATGGTTACATAATTGTTGTATGTATTTATTGGGCACATGTGATGTTTTAATACAGGCATACAGTATGTAATAATTAAATTAGGGTAATTGGGATATTCAGAACCACAAGCATTTACCATTCCTTTGTGTTAAGAAAATTCCAATTCTACTCTTTCAGTATTTTAAAATACATAATAGATTCTTGTTAACTATGATCACATTATTGTGCTACCAAATAGTAAATCTTATTCATGCTATCTAACTGTGTTTTTGTACCCACTAGCCATCCTATCTTTACCCCCTCTACCAGCTACTCTTCCAAGCCTCTGGTAACAATAATTCTACTCCAGAGTAGTCTTTCTTTTATTCTTCTTCTTTATTTTTAGCTTTCACATGTGAATAAGAACATGCCACATTTGTTTTACGGTGCCTGGCTTACATCCCTTAACATAATGTCCTCCAGTTCCATCCACGTTGTTGCCAATCAAAGGATTTTGTTTGTTTGTTTTTTTGTTTTGTTTTGTTTTTGAGATGGAGTCTCAGTCTCTGTCACCTGAGCTGGAGTGCAGTGACATGGTCTCGGCTCACTGCAACATTTGCCATCTCCCTCCTGGGTCCAAGCGATTCCCCTGCTTCAGCATCCCAAGTGGCAGGGATTACAAGTGCACCCCACCACTCTCAGCTAGTTTTTATATTTTTAGTAGAGACAGGATTTCACCATGTTGGCCAAGCTGGTCTTGAACTCCTGACCTCAAGTGATCCGCCTGTCTTGGTCTCCCCGAGTGCTGGGATACAGGCGTGAGCCACTGTCCCCAGCCAGGATTTTAATAATAAGGATTTTAAGAATAATATTCTTTTGTGTATGTGTACTACCTGCTATTTATTGATTTATCTGTTGATAGACAATTCAGTTGATTCCATATCTTGGTCATTGCGAATAGTCATACAATAAGCATAGGAGTGCAGGTATCTCTTCACCATGTTGATTCCTTTTTTTCAGATATATACCCAGAAGTGGGATTGCTGGATCATATGGTAATTTTACTTTTAGTTTTTTTGAGGGACGTTTATACTGTTGTGGTTGTACTAACTTACATTCCCACCAACAGTGTTTGAGAGTTCCCCTTTCACCACATCCTCTCCTGCATTAGTTATTGCCTCTTGTTGGGATAAAACCATTTTAACTGGGGTGAGATGATATCTCATTGTAATCTGATTTGCATTTCTCTAATGATTATTAATGTTGAGCTTTTTTTCCATATAGTTTTTGGCTATTTGTATCTCTTCTTTTGATAAATGTCTAGAGATCTTTTGCTATTTTTTAATTAGACTATTTTTTTCCTATTGAATTGCTTGAGCTCCTAATATATTCTGGTTATTAAGCCTTTGTCAGATGGATAGTTTTCAAAGATTTTCTCCCATTCTGTGAATTGTCTCTATATTTCGTTAATTATTTCCTTTCATTCTTATACCTACTTAGGATATTTTTATTCTGTCACCACTATCCCTTAAATTTTTCATTTATGGAAAATGTGATAAATGCACCTTCTACATCTTTACTAATCTCATTGATAAATGTTGAAAAGGTCATGTCCTACAACAGAGCTTTCTAATATATTATTAGAGACCAACATGTGGAGACTGATATGAAACTATTAATAAGTACCTTTGAATTTTTTTACCCTATCCAAAGTACACTTTGCCGAATCAGAATGCCTGATACAAAATTTATAAACTAATCCCTTGCCAAGGACCATACATTCTAGTATGTTACTACAGTTAATATCCGATTCCTTTCATATCATTATTTCCCACATTACAATTATAAATTGGAAGAAGGAATAAATGGATTTAGTTTAATCTATGGGGCTTTGGAAGCAGAGACAAGGGATAACACATCAGGCATACTGATGAAGTTTGAGGTCAGCAATGCATTTTTATATTCTCGACCCTGGGTATGATTCCTCTCAGTATTGCTGTTATGTGACATTACAGACAACTGTCCTTGTGGAAATAATTTTCTGTGTGAAAAGTTTCATATTCACCATCTGGCTCCAGTAGAACCATAATTTTTTTCTCCAACCCAACCCACTCTTCTGCCTATTTTATTTTTCATTTTATCATCTGAGATTTTAGTTTTATTTTTCATCTTGAGGCTCTGTATTTCTTATTTTGTGTTTCTGAAATACCAGACTCTGCCTTAAAACTCCTTATACTTTCTGAGATCCTCAACTGGAAACAATTATGCACTCGTGGGTATTTGACACTGAACGGAGAGACTTTTAGCTGTTACAATTGAGGGAGTTGGGGTCAGGGCTGCTATTGGCATCTAGTGGGTAGAGGCCAATGGTGCTGCTAAACTTTTGTAGCACAGAAAAGATGTATTTCCTCACCAATTGCTAGGTTCATGGCTGAGACTCCCGTATAACAAAAAGCAGATTAACAAGAGAAAAGCCTACAGATTATTGTACTTATTTTGTACAAGCTTTAAGTAACACGGGAGCCTTCAGAAATGAAGAAACGGAAAGCTATGTTTTTCATGGACAGCTGTAGAGAAGTTTGTTTGGAGAGCGAAAGGGTCTGATCTAATAGTAATAAATGGGGATGAGGGGGTGAAAGGGTAGAGGATGGAATTTAGCAAGCCCTGTTTATTCAGATTCTTCTTTGTGTCTCAGTGTCTTCAGAAATAAGGACATTACTTTCCTCCACGTTTAGGATAGGACAGACCCTCTGGAATAAAGGTTTTATGAATTACTTTAGAGGAAGATCAGATAATTATTTTTATTTGTTTATTTATTTATTTATTTTGACACAGAGTCTAGCTCTGTTGCCAGGCTGGAGTGCAGTGGTGTGACCTTGGCTCACTGCAACCTCTGCCTCCTGGGTTCAAGCGATTGTCCTGCCTCAGCCTCCTGAGTAGTTGGGACTACAGGTGGGCACCACCATGCCCAGGTAATTTTTGTATTTTTAGTAGAGAGGGGGTTTCACCATGTTGGCCAGGATGGTCTCAATCCCTTGACCTCTTGATCCACCCGTGTCGCCCTCACAAAGTGCTGGGATTACAGGCAGGAGCCACTGCGCCCGGCCCAGAGAATTGTTTTATGCCCTGCTGCAAGGGAGAAAGTCAGAGAGAACTTCCAACTTCTACTGTTTTTTTTTTTTTTTTTTTTTTTTTTTTTTCAAATACCAAGGTGCCATATTTTGGGATAGCATGTGCTGAAACACATCACATCCTACAATACACAAACCAATTCCCCACAACAAAGAACTATCTGGGCCAAAATGTCAATAGTTCTGAGATTGAGAAACCTCATTCTAGAAAAGTATTTTTAAAGTTGTGGTACACAGATCAACAAAAAATGGGTACCACCCCAAGGTCATTGAATCATAAAATTTGCAAGGGTCTAAAGACTAAGGCGTCTGCTTTTTAAACAAGCTTCTCAAATGATACTTAATCATATAACATTTAAAACTATAGCTATTATGAGGAACTACAAGTTACCCCTTTTCTCAAGAGAAAGGTCATCTTTGCAGCACAACCCATCTTCTAACTGTGTTTTTAGATTTAGATTAAAAAAAATCATAGTTTATAATTTCCTTTGGTAAGTGGGCTGGACAACTATAATAACAAACTGTGCGTTTCCTGTGTGACTCTGATCTCTCCAGTCTTTCCAACCTGTCATTAATGCTTTGCTGTTGATTTATCTGGAAGTATCTCTTTAAACTTTCTTAATTACCACAAGCAAATTACTAGCAATTATCCCTACGTCATGCTGACCTCTGATAGCTGATAGTATGTGAATCACCAAGGGAAGGGAAAGTCTTTCAAAGATTTTTAAATATCACATGATTTTCTTGTTTTTTATTTTTTCATTCCCTAATCTCCTAATCAGTAAACGTTTAACCAACAAGGATTTTCTTTTTGCTTTAAAGTCACTTTTGCTCTTTCCCTCTCTGACACTCTCACATATGTTTCACACAGTTCCTCTCTTATTCTCCAGAACTTTTTCACCTGCCCTCCCCCTTCTCAGGCTCTCCATATCTCCATCATTTAGTAAGACAATAGTACCATACCCTTGGAGGCAGATCTAATGGGAGGTCATTGATTAACTTATCTATAAGTTGAAAGGAAGAAGAAATTGAAAAAGCTGCACTTCTGGGTTTTGTCCTTATTCTTGGGAATCAGCGTAAACAGCAAAAAGGGGCTATGGATACTTAGGAAGAAGCACAACTATGTTTGAGACCCCATAGCAGATTGCAATCCACTCTTTAAATGTTTTGACTACCTAAATATAAATTATCTTTATTTCAGTCAGTTATAACAGGTTTTTATTAATGAAAATATTCAAGACAAATGGTGACAATACTAAAATACAGGGACTACATATGAGGAGGTATAATCTAATAATAGTTCTGTTTTAAAGCATTCAGCATACTCTGTATAAATAATCCTTTACATTTTTAGCACCAAGGAGGTAATTATTTTCTCCATAGAGCCATGTTTTAAAAATGTCTTCATACCAAAATAAAGTTATTACCAAATAACAATCTAGATTTTTTGATATTGGAATATCAGACTTTTTAAATATTGTGGAAAACTAGACATTCAGAGTCTCAGTTTAAGAATCATTACTCTTTATAAAAATAAAAACAGTGAAATACAATACAGATAGAAAAAAATAAAAATATGGAGCACCCAGCCGGGCACCATGGCTCACGCCTGTAATGCCAGCACTTTGGGAAGCTGAGGCAGGCGGATGACCTGAGGTCAGGAGTTTGAGACCAGCCTGACCAACATGGAGAAGCCATGTCTTTACTAAAAATACAAAATTAGCCAGGCATGGTGGCACATGTTTGTAATCCCACCTACTTGGGGGGCTGAGGCAGGATAATCGCTTGAACCCGGGAGACAGAGGTTGCGGTGAGCCGAGATCACGCCATTGCACTCCAGCCTGGGCAACAAGAGCGAAACTCTGTCTCAAAAAAAAAATATATATATATATATAGATATATACACATACACACACACACACACACACACACACACACACACACACACACATATATATATATATATATATATGGAGCACCCTAGTTATGAACATCAGAGTAATGAGATACGGGAAACTAAATGCATTTCACAAAATCAAATATCTGGTAATTCAACTGCTACATATGTGCACACTGACTATACCTATACCTAGGGCTTGAAGTGGCGTGCTAGAAGTATAAATAAGCCAAAAATATAAATGACAATTATTAGAAATAAAATATCATTTTATTTATTTTAAAGTATGAAAAATGTAAGGAACATATAAATATCAGCATTTATTTTAAAATAAATGGACAATAAGCTTTCCAGTTTGCATGGATGCTAATAATCCTTTCCCTCTCCAAGGATTGCCAAGGTTTACATTCCTTTACATTTAAGACTAGTTCCATACAAAAGCTAAAGAACCATGGCCATCAAGTTTCCTTTTATGTTTTCTTTAGCTTTTTTTTCTTGAAATTTTTATTAAGAAAAATTATGTAACCGGCACTGACATGGAATATTATAAGAAATTCCAACGTTCCTGTTCCATACCCCCAACACTTCAATAATTAGTAGATCATGACAAATCTTGTTTTCTGCTTACCTACATAATTGTATTATTTTAATACATCAAATAACATCCTCTGTAAATATCTAAAATATATGAATTCTTTAAATAATAATACCATAATATTTAAAAAATTAACAGTTAATTCTTGACAGCATCAAATATTAACCAAACTAACCAGTGCTCAGTTCTCCCAATTGTTTACTGATTTCTGTTATTTTGTTTACTAAAAATTTCACATATTTTTCTTGTCTCTTCCCTGCCATTTAAAATACATCCTCTTTTATTTCTATTTCTTGAAATTCTTATTGAAACAAACAACAACAACCAAAAAAAAGATGATTTGTACTGTACAGTTCCCCTTACTTTGAGTTTTGCCAGTCTCACCCTCTCTCCCCTACATTTCCCCTAAATCTGTAAAGTATTAATCTGATTCAGAGTTCCTGTTCATTTGTTTGTTTATAGAAATATTTATTCTATGGTGCTGGGTACTTGCATTGGTAATCACATAAATTCTGAGTTCTCTCTCTTATTATGATGTTAAAGTTATAATTGGGTTCAAGTTTGTTTGAGCATAATTTATACACTCCAAATTACCACATTATTTTATTATATTTGTTGACTCTATCTTTATATGTTAAAAGTAGTGACTTTCATGTGTTTTATTAGCTAGTAAAAGTATGCATTCAAGAAATAGTTTTCTGTTGTCATGTAAAAGATGTGTGGCAAGTCTGTCTCTTGCACATCTTATAAAGGAAAAGCAGGTGTATTAGTTTGTTTTCATGCTGCTGATAAAGACACACCTGACTCAGGGTAATTTATAAAGAAGAAAAGGTTTAATGGATTCACAGTTCCACATGGCTGGAGAGGTCTCACAATCAAGGCAGAAGGCGAAAGGCGTGTCTTACATGGTGGCAGGCAAAAGAGAATGAAAGCCAAGCTAAAAAAGGAAACTCCTTATAAAACCATCAGATCTTTTGACACTTATTCAATATTATGAGAACATTGTGGGGTAAACCACTCCCATGATTCAATTATCTCCCACTGGGTCCCTTTCACAACACATAGGAATTGTGGGAGCTACAGTTCAAGATGAGATTTGGGTGGGGACACAGCCAAACCATGTCAGCAAGATACTTTATTCTTTACTGATATTGATTAGTTTTATGATCAATAATTTGGTTCTCTAGTATCCTCCAAATGTCATCAATATGAGATATATTTTTAGTGTCAATTGGAAGTTATGGATTTGATCTAGTTCTATTTATTTTAGCTCTTGTTATTGACACACAATTTGCCTTATCCTTTGCCAATGGGGGACCTCTTCCAGTTCACAATCAAATCAAGTACTATAGTTTTATTTGATATCTGGCTTTTGGTTTAAACCTTAAATAGTATCAAATATCCATTAACTGCCATAAAATGTGAGACCTAGAAAACGTTATTTAATGAACAGCAAAAGTATCATATTTAATGTTTATATAAAAGACATATATCTTTATCACCTTTTGCTATTTTATACTAAAATATCTCAATGTTTAATTTGGTAACCAGAGAATAAGAGAAACAAGTATCCTAATAAACCATATTGGTCTTCACAAATAATTGACATTTACATAGAAAAATAAATGTTACACCACTTGTTTCTATTTACTCTTTTATGTCAAACTTTTTAAGTTAATTTCCCTTGTAGTGACTGTAAATGGCAGCCAGTTTTGATGTACATCTCCTATATCATGAATATTAGTGATTATTTTGCATGTCATCTTCACTTCCTTCCTCTTGCATTTGTTTTCCATTATCATGGAACGCTGTCATATTCAGTTAATAGATTTTATTGTGGTGAGTGAGATTTACACTATTGAAGATGTATTTTGCCATTTCTTATATCCTGTTACCCGTTAATAATGCTTTTTCAAACTTTCAAATCAAGAATTCCAAGATGTTTCTTAAGAGGTTACCTTGTTCACAAAGGCCACTCTTTCAGACCATTTGTGAGTAGCAGAATAGAGGTAAATATACAGCCGCAGTTTCTTTCTGGAGACCCACCTTGCTTGTTTCTACAATGAGAGCTTCATGGCTGTGTTTTATATCAAAGGATATCCTTGTGCACAGTTACCATAATGTTGTAGACTCTCCCCTACAACCACTTTGTTTAAACTCTCAGGAATCTCAAAGCTGCTTTCTTTAGGTTTTCAAGAGGCTCTCAATGGTAGGTATCTTGGTTCTTGGACAGATACATATCATTCCTTTTTTTAAAGCAATTCTACTTACTATTACTATACTAAAAAATATTGTAACCATTGGAACATCAAATACATTAATAATAATTCTGATAAGACAAAAGTTGATCCAAAGTATATATAAAGATTATTGTTGAGAAAATAGTCTCATATATGGCACATCACCTACAGTACTACAAATCATTCTTAAAAATATCAATAGGAAATACCCAAAAATATTAGTAACACTCGTGAGTTGTGCAAGCTATATTTTGACAGAATACACTCAGATGGTGACACTATTAACACACTGTTTTTGGCAAAGGAAGTTTTTAAAATATAGATGAGAAAAATGAAGAGATGAAGGAGAAAAGCCTTGTTACCATTGTTGTTAGCATCATTTCCCTCTTGAGAAGAGAATTTCTTAAGAAATCGTAAGTATCTTAAGTATAATGGATAACATGTCAGGCATAATTTTACTAAATAATATTGGATAGGAGAGTGGCGATGCTCCATCCTTCAAAATTTCCTGAGTCTGCAAAGCATTTTCAACAGCTCAAAATTAATACTTAAGCTAAAATGAAGCAGAGTATTCCCTCATACACATACACATACACACACACACACACACACACACACACACATAAATAAATCTATCTATTTAAGAGAGATAATGAGAAATCACCAGGTTCACTTATTTTTATTGGTAATATGGAGACCTTCGTCATCAGGATCAAAAAGCTAAGCTTATCTGGTGTTCCTTTCAACATGAACACTGCAATAATGTAATGATGAGTCACACATTGATGGCTTTTCTAAAGTATCTACATGGTCATTCTCAGTGAAAATTGTAAACCTGTCATGTAAAATATCTAGGACTGCTTAATTTATGTTAAAAATAACAGCTATAATTTCCCAATAATGTATTAGGACTTGACAACCCTGAATATTTTTTCAGTGGAAATGCATGTAGAAAAGATAAGCAATTTGACAGATCTTTTTATTCTTTAGGAAAAGGAAGAAATAATCACCAGTGCCAGTGCCACTGAATCTAAAATACCTAATAAAATATAATACCTAATATTGGTGGTTTCTTATCAACAATGTTCTTTACATCTGTTAAAGTGGCTTTATATGTATAAGTGGTTTTCATCAGTGATGCCTTTTATAATACTGTCAAAAGCGAGGCAAATATATCTTGTTTCTTAGGCAAATAAAAGCTTGATTTTAACTTTCTGAATCTCATGATCCTTGAATGCAAACATCATGTATAAAAGCCTCAAATATCTAGATACTAAACATATTTTAAATTTAACTATTAAAATAAGTTTAATCACTAAATAATAGTATATGAATTTAAGAAAATTTGATTTTACTAAGAGTTTTAAATTATATTTTAGGATATCTGAGATATGTCATTTACAGTGAAAGAAATAATGTGTCTCAATAAAAAGGCAGTTCATAACATGTCAATTATGTCATTTACAGTGAAAGAAAGTAATGTGACTCAGTAAAATGGCAGTTCATAGCATGTCAGTTGCATTATGAAGTGTCCACATTGGAGTCTCTATTACCCTAATTAAACAGTTACATATTTGTCACCTTAATAGGTCTTGGGAAGGTGTTAATACCTCCCTTTGTATGGAAAAAAATATGCCCAATCCTTAGGTGGACTCATTTCAGCTAAAACTCTGTATAAGTAATCTGTTTCCTGTTTAATCATATATTCTTAGAACCTATATTATTGGTTGGCATCTCAAAATTATACACAAATCTCTCCCTTTATTGAGACTTCCCCACTCTCTATAGGTTTCATGTCATTGGGAAATAATAAGACTGGGTAAACAAGACTGAATTTTCAGGGCTAACCTGAGTCTATTTTAGCAGTCCCTCATCTTGCTCCCTTAACAAACTATAATTTTCTTAGTAAATTTTCTCCTCATTTCCCTAAACACCTTTTGCATTTCTCAATAGAATTCATGTCCTATCTAAAAAGTGGTTCTGAATTTTTTTTTGCTTTCAAGACCCTTTTTCTCTCTTAAAATTATTGAGGACTCCAAAGAGCTTCTGTTTATGTGGGTTATATCTATTGACATTACTCTATTAGAAATTAAAACAATATTTTTAAACACAAGAATACATATTTTGCTAGCTCTCAGAGTAACAATGTACTCACAATACATGTAGCCTTTTAAAACTTCATGGTTATCATGAGAAAATGAGAGTGAAAATGGCAAATAAAGCATTATATTATATAAAATAATTTGAATTCCCAGATCCCATGAAAGGGTCTTGGGGACCCCAAGTGTCCTCACGAGATATTTTTAGAAATATTCCATACCATTATTGTCTTACAAGTCTCTTCTCTGTACAATGTTTCCCCCCATGGAGCATGTCTTATTTAACTTTAGGTTTCAATAACCCATTACTTCATATTTCCATACACACACACACAAACACACACACACACACACACACACGAAAATGGAATATATTTCCAAATGTTTGTGTACATCCCCATATTATATATTTTATATATATATATATATATATATATATATATATATATGTTTGTGTGAAAATATACAGTCATCTTTCACAATCTGTGGGGTTGATACCAAAATTTGTAGATGCTCAAGAACTTCATATAAAGTGGCATAATATTACATATAATCTATGCACATCCCCCTATATGCTTTAAATAATCTCTAGATGACCTACGGTACCGAATAAAATGTAAATATTATGTAAATAATTGTACTGTATTGTTTAGGGAATTATGACAATAAATTGTATGTGTTCAGTGCAGACACAGGGTTTTTTTTCCCCTCAAAATTTTGACTGAGAGTTTATTGAATCCTCATATATGGAACCAATGAATATGGAGTGTTGAGTATATATACAGCCATGTGCTGAATAATGATGCCAATGATGGACTGTATATATAATGGCGATCCCATAAGATTATAATACCGTATTTTTACTGTACCATTATATGTTTAGCTAGGTTTAGATAAACAAATACCATTGTGTTTCAATTGCCTACAGTATTCAGTATAGTAAAATGTGGCACAGGTTTGTAGCCTAGGAGCAATAGACTAGACCATATACATGTGTAGTAGGCTGCACCACATAAATTTGTGTAGGTACGCTCAATGATATTCACACAACTACAAAAAACCTAATGACTCATTTATCAGAATGTATCCCATTATTAAGCAATGAATGACTGTATTTCTATATATATATAGTTTTGTCCTATTGTAAAATATATATGCATAGTGTAGTGTGTATGTGTGTATGTGTATATACAATTTTGTACGGCATCAACACTGTAATTATTATAAATATGTTTCTCATATAAGGGAAAGATGGTTATATCTGTTCAACTAACAGCATACAAAGTTTCGTTTTATTAGAATCACTTTCCCCAAGCAATGTATTTCATATAAAAAAGTTGTATGTTATTGTATTAAATCTTTCCAAACAACAATAGCATAAACAAAAATAATAAAACAGTGAAGGAAGTAATCATATGTTTTGTATCCTGACTAAGTGACTGACAGCCAATAAACATGAATGAAGTCTTTGGGTGATTACTATCTTGCCATACATGGACTGTAGAGGGAGAGGGTTAATAATTGGAAAACAAAAAAACAAACACATTTTTACTATTTTTAGCGTAGTATTCATATCATGGCTTTAGTTTCCAGGTAAATTTAGGTGTCAGCTATTAACATGCATATGTTAAATTCAAAACTTTTATGCAATTAAAATTGGAAACAAATGCTTCAGTCAATTACTTATTAAATGAAAATCAGTATTTAAATATATCAGACATTATGCTGATTTTTTTTACTCTGAAAATTGATTACATTGACTTTTGACTCATTAAAGTACATTTTAAATGTAGTAAATGATCTTGGTATTGAATATAACATGTTTGCCAAGAATTAATGTGTGATGAAATTAATCCTTTTCTGTTGTATGTTAAACTTGCCTTTAGTATGATTCTTCTGATAACAGCCTCAACATTTTCCCTTCTTTCAGTTCTTCTTTCCTTTTCTTCTCTTTTGCTTTCATTATTTTGCATTTCACATTGGGTCTATATTATTTCATTCAAACTTCTGTAACAAAAATGCCATAGGCTAAATGACTTATAAACAGAAGAAATTTATTTCTCACAATTTTGAAGACTCGGAAGTTCATCATCAAGGCACCAGCAGAATTGGTGTCTGGTAAGAGCTCACATCCTGGTTCATAGATGGCTGACTTTGTAATGTATCCTCACATGGCAGAAGGGGCCAGATATATTGCTGGGGTCTCGTTTATGGGGCACTAATTCTATTCATGAGGGTTCTGGTCCTACATCCTAATCATATCTCAAAGGCCTCACCTCCTATTACCATTACTTTGGGATTTTGGATTTTACCGCTTTTGTGTGGACATAAACAGTCATTCCACAGCAACATTTATGATCCATTCTGAATTTCTGTGTTATTTTTCTGTAAACTATGTAAGGTCTATGTCTAGAAATACATTTGTTTTTACATGTGGTAACCATTCCAGCATCATTTGTTTAGAAAGTATTTTTAAATGTACCATGCTTGAGTTTTTTGGCACTGTCTAGATCTGAGTATTTATCTTTGAGAATATCTGGAATTTACTTTTCATTATCTCTTCGTAATCCTTCTCAATTTTTTTTACAGTATACCTTTGTGGATTTCTGTTAGGTATGTGTTAGATTTTGTTGTTTTCTTTAAATTTGTGTCATATTTTACATCTTTTGTTCCTTTTGTTATATTGCAAATAATTTAAATTTCTCTTTCTGTTAACTGTTTATTTGCTAACTACTTAATTTTTTAAAATATGACTTACTATTTAAACTATGTATTAAATTGCAGTTTCATTTTTTTTAATATTCTGTCTTTTTTAACTTTTAGGTTCATGTATACATGTGCATGTTTGTTATACAGGCAAGCTGCAGTATTTGGTTTTATTTTCCTGTGTTAGTTCATTTAGGATAATGGCCTCCAGCTCCATCCATGATCCTTAAAAGAACTGATCTCATTGATTTTTATGTCTGTGCAGCATTCCATGCTATGCATGTACTACATTTTCTTTATTAGTCTACTGTTGATGGGCATTTGGGTTGATTACATGTCTTTGCTATTGTAAATAAGGCTGCAGTGAACATATGTGTGCCTGTGTCTTTTTGACAGAATAATTAATATCCCTTTGGGTATACACACAATAATGGGATTTCTGGGTTAAATGGTAACTTTGCTTTGAGTCCTTTCAGAAATTGTCAAACTGATTTCTGTAAAGGCTGAATGAATTTACATTCCCACCAGCAAGGTGTTCTCTTTTCTCTGCAACCTCACCAGCATCTGTTATTTTTTGATGTTCTAATAATAACTATACTGACTCATGTGAGATGATATCACTTTTTGGCTTTGATTTGGATTTCTCTAATGATTAGTGACGCTGAGCATTTTTTTTCATATACTTGTAGGCTGCACGTATGTCTTCTTTTGAAAAGTGTCTCTTCATGCCTTTGGCCACTTTTTAATGGGGTTGTTTCTTTTATGCTTGTCGACTTAAGTTCTTTATGGATTCTGAATTTAGATCTTTATCAGACAACATAGTTTGCAAATATATTCTCCCATTCTGTAGGTTGTCTGTTTAGTCTGTTGATAGATTGTGTTGTTGGTGTTGTTGTTTGTTTGTTTTGTTTTGCTGCACTGAAGCACTTTAGTTTAATTAGGTCCCATTTGTCAATTTTTGCTTTTGTTGCAATTGCTTTTGGTGTCTTTGGCATGAAATCTTTGCCAGTTCTTATGTCCAGTTTTCTAAGGTATCATCCAGGATGTTTATAGTTTTAGGTTTATATTTAAGTCTTCAATCCATTTTGAGTTGATTTTTGTATACGGTGTAAGTAAGGGGTCCAGTTTTGATCTTCTGCGTATAGTTAGCCAGTTATCCTAGCGCTATCTAATGAATAGGGAATCCTTTCCCCATCTTTTGTTTTTGTTGACTTTGTCAAAGATCTGATGATCATGGGGGTTCAGCATTATTTCTGGGATCTTTATTCTGTTCCACTGGTCTATGTGTCTGTTTCTGTACCATACCATGCTATTTGGTCACTGTAGCCTTGTAGTGTACTTTGAAATCCTGTAACATCATGTCTCAGGCTTTGTTATTTTTGCTTAGGGTTGCCCAAGCTATTTGAGCTTTTTTTGGTTCCATATGAATTTTAAGATCATTTTTTCTCATTATTTAAAGAGTGTCATTGTTAGTTTGATAGGAATGGCATTGAATCTATAAATTGCTTTGGGCAGTATGACCATTTTAACAATATTGCTTCTTCCTGTCCATGAATAGGGAATGTTTTTCTGTTTCTTTGTGTCATTTCCTATTTTTTTGAGTAATGTTTTGTAATTCTTGTTGTAGAGATTTCTTACCTCTCTGATTAGCTGTATTCCTATGTATTTCATTCTTCTTGTGGCAATTGTGAATGGGATTGCGTTCTTGATTTGACTCTCAGGTTGGATATTCTTGGTGTATAGAAATGCTGCTAATTTTTGCACATTAATTTTGTGTCCTGAAACTTTCCTGTATTTATTTATTAGCTCAAGAAGCTTTTGGGTAGAGACTGTGGGATTTTCTATTTATAGAATTGTATCATCTGAAAACTGGGATAGTTTGACTTTCTCTCTTTAGATTTCTGTAGATGTCTATTTGGTCTATTTGGTCAGTTGTTGAGTTCAGGCCCTGAATTAAACTAAAAAAAAATTGTAGTTTTCTACCTCAATGATCAGTCTAATACTCTCAGTGGTGTGTTGAAGTCTCCCACTATGATTGTTTGGTTATCTAAGTCTCTTCATAGGTCTCTAAGTACTTGCTTTATAAATCTGGGTGCACCTGTGTTGGGTGCATGCCTATTTAGGATACTTAGTTCTTGCCTTTACCGTTATGTAATACTCTTTTTGTTGTTTTAAAATTTTTGTTGATTTAAAGTCGGTTTTGAATGAAATTTGAATAACAACTCTTGCTTTTATTCTGTTTACCTTTTGCTTGGTAGATTTTTCTCCATCCCTTTACTTTGAGTCTATGCGTGTCATTGCTTGTTAGATGGTTCTCTTAAAGGCAGCATACAGTTGGGTCTTGCTTCTTTATTCAACTTGCCACTCTGTGACTTTTAATTGGGACATTTAGCTCATTTATATACTAGGTTAGTGTATTAGTCTGTTCTCACACTGCCAGTAAAGATAAACCTGGGACTGGGTAACTTGTAAAGGAAATAAATTTAATGGACTAACAGTTCCACATGGCTGAGGATTCCTCAAAATCATGGCTGAGGATGCCTGGGCCCAGTCCACGAAAGGAGAAGCAAAGGCATGTCTTACAACACAGAAGAGAACTTGTGCAGTGGAACTCCCATTTGAAAAAGCTTCAGATCTTGTGAGACTTATTCATTACCAGGAAAATGGCATGGGGGAAACATCCCCCATGATTCAATTATCCCCACCTGGCCCCATCCTTGATGCATGGGCATTATTACAATTCAAGGTGAGATTAGGGTAAGGACACAGCCAAACCTATCATTCTACCCCAACACCTCCTAAATCTCATGTCCTCACATTTCAAGACCAATCATGCCTCTCCAACAGTCCTGCAAAGTCTTAACTGATTTCAGCATTAACTCAAAACTCCACAGTCCAAAGCCTCATCTGAGAAAAGTCCCTTCTGCCTATGAGCCTGTAAAATCAAAAGCAAGTTAGTTACTTCCTAGATACAATGTAATGGGCATTTGGGTAAATACACCCATTTCAAATTGGAGAAATTGGCCTAAACAAAGGAACTACAGGCCCATACAACTCCATAATCCAGTGGGGCAGTCAAATCTTAAAGCTCCAGAATGATCTCCTTTGACTCCATGTCTCACATCCAGGTCACACTGATGCAAGAGTTGGGTTCCCATGATCTTGGGCAGCTCTGCCTCTGTGGCTTTACAGGGTATAGCCCTCCTCCAGGCCGCTTTCATAGGCTGTTGTTGAGTGTCTCTGGCTTTTCCAAGCACACAGTAGAAGCTGTCAGTGGATCTACCATTCTGGGGTTTGGAGGACAATGGCCCTCTTCTCACAGCTCCACTAGGCAGTGCCCCAGTGGGGACTCTGTGTGGGGACCCACAATTCCCTTCTGCACTGCCCTAGCAGTGGTTTTCTGTTAGGGTCCTGTCCCTGCAGCAAACTTCAGCCTGGACATACAAGCATTTCCGTACGTCCTCTGAAATCTAGATGGAAGTTCCCAAATCTCAATTTTTGATTTCTCTGCACCTGCATGCCCAATGCCACATGTAAGCTGCCAAGACTTGGAAACTGCACCCTTTGAAACTTGAGCTTGAACTCAAGCCTGAGCTTCAAGTTGGCCCCTTTTAGCAATGGCTTGAGCTGAAGCAGCTGGGACACAGGGCGACTTGTCTGGAGTCTGCATAGAGCAGGAGTCCCTGGGCCCAGTCCATAAAACCATTTTTCCCTTCTAAGCCTGATGGCAGGGGCTGCCTTGAAGGTCTCTGACATGCCCCAGAGACATTTTCCCTATTACCTTGGTGATTAACATTTGAATGCTTGTTACTTATGCAAATTTCTGCAACTTGCTTGAATTTCTCCCCCCCCATTTTTTTTTTCTGTTGCATCATCAGGCTGCAAATTTTCCAATTCTTTATGCTCTGCTTCCTCTTGAACCCTTTGACCTTCTGCCAGATACCCTAAATTATCTCTCACACGTTCAAAGTTCCACAGATCTCTAGGGTAGGGGCAACATGTGACCATTCCCTTTGCATGGCAATAGTGTTCTTTACTCCAGTTCAACAAGTTCCTCATCTCCATCTAAGGCCACCTCAGCCTGGACTTTATTATCTATATCACTATCAGCATTTTGGGCAAAGCCATTCAGCAAGTCTCCAGGAAGTTCTAAACATTCCCACATTTTTCTATCTTCTTCTGAGCCCTCCAAACTGTTCCAGCCTCTGCCTGTTACCCAGTTCCAAATGTGCTTCCACATTTTTGGATATCTTTACAGCAGTGCCCCACTACCCAGTACCAACTTACTGTTTTAGTCTATTCCCATTCTGCTAATAAAGACATACCCAAGACTGGGTAATTTATAAAGGAAAGAGGTTTAATGGACTTACAGTTCCACATGGCTGGGGAGGCCTCACAATAATGGTGTAAGGCAAAAGAAAAGCAAAGGCACCTCTTACATGGTAGCAGGCAAGAGATCATGGGTAGGGGAGTTCGCATTTATAAAACCATCAGACCTCATGATACTTATTCACTACCCCAAGAACAGTGTGGGGGATACCCCTCCCATGATTCAATTATCTATACCTGGCCTTGCCCTTGACACATGAGGATTATTACAATTCGAGGTGAGACTTGGGTGGGGACTCAGACAAACCATACCAATTAGTATTGATATTTGCAGTTTTGATCCCATCACTGTGTTGTTAGCTGGTTATTATGCAGACTTGTTTGTGTGGTTGCTTTAAAGTGTCACTGGTCTATATTCTGAAGTATGTTTTTGTAGTGGCTAGTAACTAGTTTTCCTTTCCATGTTTAGAACTTCCTTCAAATCCTTGTGTAAGGTAGGTCTGGTTGTAATGAATTTCTTTAGCATTTACTTGTCTGAAAATAATCTTCTTTCTTCTTCACTTATGAAGCTTAATTTGGCTGGATATGAAATTCTTGGTTGGAATTTATTTTCTTTAAGAATGCTAAACATAGGCCCCAAATCTCTTCTTGCTTATAGGGTTTCCACTGAAAGGTCTGCTGTTAGCCTGATGGGGTTCCCTTTGTAGGTGACCAGTCCTTTCTCTCTAGCTGCCTTTAACATTTTTTTCTTTCATTTTGACCTTGGTAAATCTGATGACTGTGTGTCTTCAGGATGGTCTTTTTGTGTAGTATTTTGCAGGGGTTATTTGCATTTACTGAATTTGAATGTTGGCCTCTCTAGTGAGGTTGGGTAAATTCTCCAGTCTTCAATATACAATATTCTCAGTTGTTTTTCAAGTTGCTTGCTTTCTCTCATTCTCTTTTCAGGGATGATAATGAGTCATAGACTTGGTCTCTTTATATAATCTCATATTTCTTGGACATTTTATTCATTCTCCTTTATTTTTTAAAAATGTTTGTCTGTGTCATTTAAGTGAGCCAGTCTTCTAGCTCTGAGATACTTTCCTCATCTTGGTTCATTATGTAGTTAATACTTGTGTTTGTATTCTGAAATTCTTGAAGTGAGTTTTTCAACTCTATCAGAGTAGTTTCTTTTTCTTTTCCTTTTCTTTTCTTTTCCTTTCTCTTTCTCTCTCTTTCCTTCCTTCCTTCCTTCTTTCTTTTCAATGGCCATTTCATCTTTCATCTCCTATGTAGTGAAAGTGTAAGGCATAGAATCTTTGAATTGGGCTTGACTTTCTCCTGATTTTCAATAATATGTGTTCTTATTGAATATCCATATTCTGCTTTCTGTTTCTGTCATTTCAGCCATTTCAGCCTGGATAGGAACCATTGGTATGGAACTAGTGTGGTCATTTGGAAGTAAGAAGATACTCTGGCTTTTTGAGTTACTAGAGTTATAACACTGGTTCTTTCTTATCTTCGTGTGCTGATATTCCTTCAGTCTTTGGCATTGCTTTCCTTTGAGTGAGCTTTTTATTTTTCTTTTATCTTTGATATCCTTGGGGGTTTGATCATGTTATAACAGGGGTTCAGTCAACTGGCATCATTTCTGGAGGACTTTAGGGAGCCAAGGCTCTGCATACTCTAATTCTGGGGGGGGTGGCATCAGGCCCCTGGCTTTTTCTCCCTGACTTCACATTAGAAGCTTGCTGCACTGGAAGGGCCAAGGTTTTCCAGGACTGCTGATCACAGTATTCCAATGGGTGATGTCAGCCAAAGCACTTTATCAGGCAGTGACAGCAGGAACTTTGCTCTTTTACACAGGCCAGCAGTGGGCAACATGGCAGGGTGCATGCTTGCTGACTGTACTGGGGCGCTGGCAGGCATAGCAGTACTGGCCTCTATGCAGGTGTTTGCAGTGGTGGTGGTGGGGGCATGGTGTGGACTGGGGTGGGGAGGTTTGGAGTGGGGTTGGAGGGGGTGCTGAGGGAGGCAGCAGAGCTGCTGACATCCACGTGTGTGTGTGTGTGCCAGCAATGGCCAAGTGGTGGTGGGGTAGTTTGCACTCATACCAGCAACAGTGGCACAGTGGAGTCCAAGCACACACAGCACCTGTAGAGAACAAGCAGCAAGGTCTGCCTATGCACACATGCATTGACAAAGTGATGTGGTGTGTGGCCGTGGGCAAGTGCATGCTGGCAAAGCAGCACAGAGGAGGCTCCAGTCTGAGGAGGGCACAGAGGAGGCTCCAGTTTGGGGAGGCTGCACTAAATGCAGGTGTGGCCAGGCTGGGGCCCTGGGAGAGGCCAGCAGACAGGGATACTCAGGTTGGACTCACCCTGTCTCATGGGCAAGATCACCCTGCTCTGTTCAGATCCAACAGTACCCCTAAGGCTAAAGTCTACTGTGGGAGCAAGGCAAGCCCTGGGAGATGGGTGTCACTGGCTATGCTCCACTGCAGATGCTCCCACACCAAACCCTCTGGACTCTGCACCATCTGGAGTTCTGCCACTATCACCTGTCTAAGCAGCTGTCCCTGCCAACTCAGATGTCCATGGGAGTTGTAGGGTATCTTGCTGACAGGATTCCAGAGGTCCATAGCCAGAGCGAGTTGTTCTTTTCCTGCTCAACTCACCCCTTTTCAAGGAGTTGTTGGGAGCCAGGAACAAGTCCTGGTTTGCGATAACCCTATGCAGGATTTCCAGGTACCATGCTTCAGCCCAGTGTCTGTGTCCTCCCTCCATCCCCCACAAAGTCTTCCCTCTGAAGATCTGCTTGGAGTGCGTCAGTCTTCCCGGTGACCCAGTCCCTTGGTGGTAAATGTTCATCCTGGCTATGTCTAGTCAGCCATCTTGCCACCCTCTAGTTAGCCCTATCTATTTTTAAAATTTCTATATGTTTTATATTTGTTTAATTTTGCAATGAAACTCCTTTGTTTTCTCCTTGTTCCATTTATGTTAACAATTGACACACACACATTTATATACTTGCATTTAAATATGAAATATTGCATTTTAAGTCATGTTTTATAATTCCAGTACCCAAATTCTCTTGAAGTCTGGTTTGTATATGTGTTATTTTCTTCTGTGATTCACTCACAGAGCCTTTGGTCCTTGTGTCTTTTGAGACTGTTTACTTTGAACTGCTCCTTTTTCTTAGAACTGTGCTTATGGGAATTATTTGATGGCAGGATTGAAATTGTACTACTCCATAGGGGAATCGTGTGTGTTTGTGTGTGTGTGTGTGTGTGTGTTTTGTTTGTTTTCTTGTTTTTGCAAGGTTCATATGGACATAATAACTCCAAACTACTACAAATAAGATTCTCACCTTAAAAATTTTTACACCACACTAAAGGTGAGAAGGCACTCCAAAACCTATGTTATGTGCAAAGTATGGTTATGATTTGCCAGAAAAAAAATGCTTTTTCTTCCCTTTGAGAAAATTCCAGTTTGAAAAAGGCAAGTTTCTTTGAGTTTTCTTGTTGTTCTAGTTTCACCAACATGTGTCTAATTACAGATTTGTTTTTATTTATCTTGACCTGCACTTAGTGCCTTTAGTTTGGAAATAAATGTACTTGAGCAATTTTGGGATATTATACTTTCAAATATTTTCTCTCATCATATTATTTTTTACATTTTGATTTTCAATTAAGCATAATTTACATCTTCTAACTTTACCTTTTCTTTGCCATGCCTCTTTTCATATTTTTTATATTTTCTCTGCACTGAATTCTGGGTACTTCTTCATTTCTGTCTCCCAGACCACGTTTTTTCCTCTTCAGAATTCCCTAATCTAGTCTGATTTATCCATTGAACTTTCGATTTTTATCACTCTTTCCAAATTTTGAGCATTCTTTTTGTTTTAAATCTGAGTTTTCAGTTTTCAAAATGAACTATATTTTCATTATGAATCTATGTCTGCTTTTATTTCTTATGTCAACATACTTAATTTATTGTCTCCTTCAAAGTAATGTATTATTTCCAGTTATTCAGATATTATTTGTCCTGTAGTTTGAGCTCATTGATATCCACACCCCTGCCCCCAACACATACTCATGTACTCTCTCTCCCTCTCTCTCTCTCGTGTGTTTTTTTCATAAACTTTTCTTTTTTCCGAGGGTTAAATTTTTCATATGGTACACCAATGACTATGGTATAAAAATGTTCCAGCGGAGTGGTTTTTATTTTGCTCCATCAGTACCAAAGGAATTCAGTCGTTCTTGTCTGATTGTTGTTTTACGCTCTAAACTTGGAACTCCTGTAACTACAGGTCAGTGCTTCTGATCTTTCACTAAGACTTTATGTAGACGACAATTTTTCCCACTATTGCTCTCAACAAGTGAGTCAGATCTCCACCTTCTTTCTTTTATTTTAACTGAAGGAATAGTTTTTAGCAGACCCAAACATAATTCATGTAACCTTGCTTTCCGTGATCTAGAAGGTGCCTTTCCAGTTCCATGCGTGCAGGCGACCAACCCCTTGGGCGTTCAGCCATGTGTAAAACTGTCTTTACTTTTCCCCATCTGACTTTGATTACCTTTTTCGCTTGTATCACCTGAGGATTTTCTATTCTGTTTTTTTTTTTCTGTTTTAAGCTGGGTTTTGCACTAAAATATTTCTTATTGCTGTATTTTAACAACCTTTTCTGGGTGACTATAGTATGAGAGAGTTCTGTCCAAATTGAATGTTCAGCTTTTCATGTTAAAGCACTCCATTTATAAATTTTGAAGAGCTTCAAGCTGAAATTATTAAAAACTCTTAATAAGTTCATTATAGACTATAACCCTATTGATAAGAAATCTTAAGGAGAATAGAGAAAAAAAAAACACTATTAAGCCTCTCTTGCATATCCTGGAGTTGTTAAAATCATTAAAAGGGTAAGATATTAAAACACATGGGAAAGAATAGTGTACATATAGGGGAAAACTGCCTATAAGGCCCTATTAGAGTTCTTAATTTTTTTGATGTAAGAAATACATTTGTGATTAAAAGAAAATTTTAATTTAATAATAAAGTAACAATTGTTAGCATTTATTGAATCATTGCTTTGTGGCTGGTAAAGTTAAGTTCTTTGTGTATACTAACATTTAATCACAACAATGTGTTGAGACCAATCTTAAAAATGTTTCTACTTTAAAGATGTTGAAATTAAGGCTCAGTTTCTTCTCTTATGCCCTCCTCCCCTATCTGCCCCTGGTTCCCAACCAGTGTGCAGTAGAGCTAGTATTTTATTATGATGACAATGAATAGTAGTGCCAGTTGATATAAGCGTCATGAGAAAAGCTAAGCCAGCTTTAAGCAAAACTGATTTATATGGGTAAAGATGCTAAATTCTGTTTAGAAACGTTGAGATTTAGAATCTAGTCAGATTTCAAATTTGAGTCTAGTGCTGGGGGAAAGCTCAGTATGAGAGCTATAATTATGCAAATAATAATCAGAACAATATTAGCCACTATTTATTGAATTTATGTTGTAGGCACTGTGTTAAGAAATTTAACACTTTTATTTTCTCATTTTCAATTTCAAAATAACATTATGAATAACATATTAATGTGCCTGTATTACAGAAAAGGAAACTGATACTTAGAAGTTATCTGTTCGAAAAGAGTGACAAAATTTAGAAAAATGAATTAACAGCCTCTGTATCTGACTCCAAAACATGCTTCCTTTCTTTATAAAATCTGTCTTCATTAATGTATTCCAAAACAAATACAAGCTGAAGCTACAAATGGGCTCAGGAAAAGTTGTAGAAACTTTGTAATGATAGATTCTTTAAAAGAATTAATAGGAAATGATAATTTTATAAATATTATTAATATCCTGCAACTGATATTAAAATTCAATATACTTTTTCACAAAATATTAAGAACTGATATAAACATCTGGCAATTCTAGAAGTTTTATTTATGAATGTTAAGATTTATATCATTTGCAATGTTCTGAAAATCATGTCTATGTAATTCTACATTTAAAATAATTTATTAATCTAGGTTGTGAATCTCTTTGTGGTTCATGTCTTGTCAAGCTGTAAGTTTCCCTGACAGGTAATCACTGAGTTTGAGAAAAAATGCTGTAATGGCATTAATGACCAGTGACAATATTATTTATTTACAGTAGCATATGTATTGGTGTAGGTACTCAACTTCTTAAATAATTTCAAATATACAGAAAATGGAAAAATTTTTGGGACATATACTCATTTACAAAAAAACATTTTTAGATCCAACTTTTGTGTGAGTCCTTTTGATTAGAAACATTTTGTATTTTTTATTTTGTTTTGTTTTGTTTTTAGAAGGAGCCTTGCTCTATTGCCAAGGCTGGAATGCAATGGTGCAGTCTAGGCTCACTGCAACCTCTGCCTCCCAGGTTCAAGTGATTCTCCTGCTTCAGCCTCCCAAGTAGCTGGGATTATAGGCATGCACCACCACGCCTGGCAAATTTTTGTATTTTTAGTAGAGACGGAGTTTCACCATGTTGGTCAGTATGGTCTTGAACTTCTGACCTCGTGATCTGCCTGCCTCAGCCTCCCAAAGCGCTGGGATTGCAGGCAGGAGCCACCAAGCCCAGCCAAAATATTTGTATTTCTATAGAAAGTTTGCAGACTTCATTACTCCTGAGAAGTACTGAATGAATAAATATGGACATTTTTCCCCTGCATAAATCAATATTATAAAAAAGCAAGGTTGATGAGTAGATATGTAAATGTGGGGATGGTGATGAGGGTGGAATAAAAAGTATGACCAAGACACAGAAATAATTTAACACAGTTGTGGCTAGGTGATTGGGAGGACTGATTTGAGAGACTGAGAGACTAGAGATTTAGCACAATATAGACTATTAATAAACTGTGTAACTTTGCCTATAATTTATATCTTTGGAAATATTTTTCAATAAGGTTTTGTCATCTACAGCACTTGAATTAAACTCTAGTATATTTTAAAATCATACTTAATACATTTCACCCTTTTCCGTGTTGTTGCATTTTATACATTTGCATTTGTAATTATTTTACAAAAACTTTGCAAGACTTAAAAAAGAATAGTTTTTATAATATAGTCTAAGAAAAATACCAATTCTTAACTGTGGCTGAGTGATCTTTTGAAATTCAAATATAATTATGTATTGTCAAATATTATTATCTACTATTATAGAAAGAAAGTACAGTAAGTATATGACAAATAAGTATGTTCACATATATATTAACTAGAAGAATAAGTCTAAAACTATATAGATTTCTTTCTGATCTTTAAGTAGAACACCAACTATATCTTCTGTGTTTATAAATGAACAAAGTACACAGATGTATAAATATTACAAACACGTATCATTATGAATCACCAGGTATTTATAGTATGTTTCTGTGATTCTTAATAATAATGTATTCAATTATTTTAATTCATTGTGAAACAATATCCAACATTACAGTCATCTCACTCTGAATGTCATCACTGAACAAAATATCAAGAAGTGTATATTTTAACATACAGCTTTTCTTCTGTGTTCTCTGTAAATCATTTTCAAAAGCCACATTATAGAAACTCAATAAACTTAGATGTGGAAAAACGTAACTGAGCTACTTAAGATAAGAATAAGAAGACAATTCTACTACATTTGATGCCTTTGTTTTGGATTTTAAGAAATATAACTGATTCTTTTGTCTCTTGGTAGTGACTATACTGTAGTGAAAGGGAAAAAAAGTTACAGGCAGTTGGAATTTTTTTTTTTGTTTAGAGAGCTCTGTAATATATATAATGACGAATATTGTGGCGACAAACCCAGGCAGTGTCGGATAGTAAGAAATAGCTACAAACTCTGTTAACCCAAGAATGAATGACATGGAATTGTTTCCCATTATGATGAGAGCCAGGGTTTCAGGAGGACTCTGCCTCTATCTCAGCTGTCTTTTCTTGACAATTATTATTTTTGTTTTTCTTCAGCAGTTAAATGTCCTTTTTCCCACCAATATGTTCTGAGTTAGGTCAACATTAGAGAAAATGTATAAAGAGAAAGGTAGCTATAATATATAACAGTCCAGAAAGAGTGGTTCCCCAGGGTAATGACGAACACTGAGATATTATCATTACATATATATATATATATATATACACACAAACATATATAATGTATATATAATTATAATTTATTATATATTATAAATGATGTCTACATAGAACAAAGTAGATAAGAAGATGGAATTTCAAGACAGAATATATCTGGGTTCAAATCTATATCTGCTAGTAACTGGGTGTGCATCATGCATTCAATAATTTAAACTTAATAAGCCTAAATTTGCTTTACCCTAAAAGGAAGATTATGTTCCTGTATTGTGAAAAAGTTCCCACAAGTTATTCTGCTTTTCTCTCTTCCTGATCCCCTACACTGTCTACCTCCCTCATCAAAAGCCACTTATGTCTAAGTAGAACACAAATAGCATATTTTTATAGGTATACACATTTTGTTTTACTCACAATATATGTAACATGTTTTTCAACATAATTGGTCCAGCAATGTTTTTCAGGTCCCTTCAGTTTAATAAGCCACTGCACATTATTCTATTCCACTTTCCCAGGTAAATAGAAGTCTGGCATATAGCATTTTATAATAGAATGTGCAATATAATTAATCAACTCATAGCATAAAACCTAAAGAAATATGTGAAGACGGAACTATTTACAACTAAGTAAAATACCACTATAGAAATTTTTATTTGCCTAATAATTCAAAGATTAATTGTCCTATGCACTAGCAAGCAATGGGTCAACTTTAAAACATTACAAACTTCAGAAGCTTACATTTTTACCATTTCTTTCAACATCCGTAACGCCATCCCAAAGGGTAACCTTTACACAAAATTTTCTGTTACGAGGTTAGTTCTCCACAGTTGCACTTTTAAATAGAAGGAATTTAACTGAAATTTTGGAATTCTAAAAAATGTATAAGAATTGTATTTTTTGTTAATTCCCCATTTCTCAAGCCCTTCAAATCAGAGCTGCAGAAAAGAAGGGAACCACTGTACTGAAGAGGATTTGTTTTATAATATTTATAATTAGTGATATTTAATATTTTAAGGTTCTAAACAGTTTTGTTTTTTTTCAATATCTTCTCCTCAAAAGAGACATTTGGAATATATATGTATGAGTAGTGTCTTATGTGTAGGAGAGCAGAGGAGCAATATTTAGAGCACTATGGCTTCTTTCTAAAATAGAAGTTCTATGGGGACAGGAACTCCTAAGTACATTTTCTTATTTCTAGTATTTCACTATTATTTTTAGTTCACAAATAGTGATAATGAATTTAAGAATTCTATTTCTTAGATGTTGGACTATAGTTCTGTGCTAAATACAGCATCAGCATACCATAATATGGACCTTTAAATATCTCTATTCCTGGCAGGGCGCAGTGGCTTACGCCTGTAATCTCAGCACTTTGGGAGGCCGAGGCGGGTGGATCACTTGAGGTTGGGAGTTCAAGACCAGCCTGACCAACATGGAGAATCCCTGTCTCTACTAAAAATGCAAAATTAGCTGGGCATGGTGGTGCATGCCTGTAATCTCAGCTACTCGGGAGGCTGAGGCAGGAGAATCGCTTGAACCCAGAAGGCGGAGGTTGCGGTGAGCCTAGATTGTGCCATTGCGCTCCAGCCTGGGCAACAAGAGTGAAACTACGTCTAAAAAAAAAAAAAACTCTATTACTTAGAGCAGTCAACATCTATGATAAAGAATCCATGCTCATATTCCTTTTATATATTCAATGAGAGCATCATGGGAAACTCACATTTTGCCTTTTTTTAAGTAAGACACACAGCAAGCTACACTTATTATACAGTGCATGGCATAATGTGGGTTGCTGTCTACTCCATGAGAAATTGTCTCATTATGTTCATACTAACAGATGGACCTCCAGCTGCTCACATTTCTTAAGCTTTTAGAATCTCTTAGGCAATGCAAAATATTTTCACCCTTTTTAAATAAAATATTTTTGTTTTTTTAATAACTGATACCCTTTACCATTGCATTCATATAGCATTTTTTACCTTACAACAGAAAACCTCTAGGATGCATGAGTTACATAGCTAACTGACAGAGTAAAGTTAATAGCTTTCTTCGGCTTTTTTCTTGATATGACACGAATGGGTTTTTATACTAATGGCTTATTTACAATAATCTCCTTTCAGCAGTTTGCCCTCGAGCAACATGAAAACACAATTAATACAAAAGTTTACCATCACAGTGACTCACAGCAGATGAAATTCACAATCTCCACATTACAACCTCTTTTAATAGAGTGCTACTCCCTTGATTCACAGCATGTAAAAATCAGAAGCTGTTTCCAATTGTTCTAGAGTTGGATGATTCATCGCTTTATCATCAAATGGCACCTAACATACTGAATACATAAATATTGAAAATTGAGTTCTGCATCTAAGATCAAAATTTTAAGAAACAACCTTTTTTGGCTGTTGGAAGAGTATTAGCACACATGGAGTCTACTTGTCTGATTTTGTGAGTGTACAGTGAGTTACCTGTAATTAGGACTGAAGTCTACATTTTGATTTGTGCTCTTCAGCATCCTTTAGCCGCAAAGAAGAGAACACACTTCTGTGGAGCCTTCCTCTGTGAACCTAGAATTGATCAGGCTGCCTACCTACTACCTGATCTTCAAAAATCTACTCAATCTCCTCATTTTTCCAAAAGGTCTATTTCATGAATATTCTACTAAGGTGCCATTGTAATCCTTTTTATAACTTTTCAAGAATGCTAGATAAACTATGGCTAATGCATTTGGTTAAATACCTTCGGTAAACCTTCATGGGGCACTAATATATGCCAGGCACTGTGATACAGCGGGAAGATAGAAAAATAACTAAGATGTAATCACTGTATTCAAGATGATCAAGGTTCCACAGTCACCGCTATGGAGGCACTCTTGAATGCAGGACTGAATAACTTCCTGCTTTAGGGGAATCTCATATTAACAAGCTGATGGATAGAGACTGAATAGCTCACTGACACTCTCTGATCCTTATGAGATAAAAGCGTAAATAAGCTGTCCCATCTGAAAATTTTAAAAGCAAAGTAGACTTTAGCATGCATTACCAAATTTTATGTTACTGAGGAACATATTGTGAAATCTGATAGAACTGATTCTTATTCAACAGTGTGTTAATGATCTCCTAAAGCCACCTTCTCTGGAAGTCATCTTTTATAACACACCATAAAATAATACTTTTGCAATGTTATATTTCATTTGAATTGCACAGATCACAAACCACTATCATTTTTTTAAAATTATTATACTTTAAGTTTTGTGATACATGTGCAGTTTTGTTACATAGGTATACACATGCCATGGTGATTTTCTGCATCCATCAACCTGTCATCTACATTAGGTATTTCTCCTAATGCTATCCCTCCCCTAGCCCCTCACCACCTGACAGTCCTCAGTGTATGATATTCCCTTCCCTGTGTCCATGTGTTCTCATTGTTCAACTCCCACTTAGGATTGAGAACATGCAGTATTTGGTTTCCTGTACCTGTGTTAGTTTGCTGTGGATGATGGCTTCCAGCTTTATCTATGTCCCTGAAAAGGATATGATGAACTCATTCTTTTTTACAGCTGCATAGAATTCCATGGTGTATATGTGCCACATTTTCTTTATCCAGTCTATCATTTTTAAATAGAATTATGTAAGCTAATAGTCTATCCATATCAAATTCACTGGTTAATTTTCAACTTTTTAACACATGCTGTATGTGTTTATATGGCACATTATTTTCTTTAGCATAATTTTACCAGTTCAGATTCAAAATTCTTAAATAAAAAGTTAGCCTGGATTGGGAAAACAAATAGGTTAGAATTAACAAGTTCTTTTAGAAATGAAAAAAAGGTAATAACAGTTTTATTTTCTCAAAGTGATCAAATTCATTTACTTCCACTATGTTTTATAATGTTTGCTGATTCAACAATATTTATAAAAGAATAGAATAATTACGAAAAATTTATTAAGAACCCATTATGTGTCAGACACATGCTGGGGGCATAATAAAATAGAAATATTTCCTGCTTTTGGAGTTTTCACATGCTAGAGGAGAAGGCTGACTTATAAGAAATAAATAAAGGAAATAATTATAGATTTTTAATGTGATAAAAAAACAAATAAGTGTTTTGAATTAAACGATGAGAAGAACATGCTTGATATGGGTTTAAGTTCTCCTAGAAGATATTTAGTGTAAGCTCCAAAAAGGAAAATAAATGTAGCCATGGAGGAAAATATAAAAGTGAAAAAAATGCATTTCAAGGATGGGAGGAAAGGTGAGCAAAAACTTGAGATAGGAAAGGGAAAAAAATGGAAGTAGAATAGGCATAGAGAAAGAGCATCAAAATAGGCTAAATAAGTCAAGCAACATGAAGAGCAGTCATGACCCTTCTAGCCAAGGTGATGGATTGGGATTCATCTCAAGTAAGGGAAGACATTAAAGGATTGATTTTAACCTGAAGTGGGACATGGTGGAATGTAACTCTTTTTAAAGAACACTTTACAGTTAAGATAATGAAGGTGCACACAGAATTTGTTGGGAAACAAATGTAGTAATCTGTTTTTAATCAATAGATTTCCCACTTAAAGTTTAATCAGAAACTATTTTTTTCCTATTGTGATCACCCATTGATTTATGTTATATTCTTATCCTAGTTCAGTATTTTCTCTGGCTCCTGAAAAATATCATTAGGTTCAGCAAAAGCACAATGTCAAAGAAAGTATCTTTTAACTTTTTTTTTTTTTTAAAAGATAAGGTCTCGTTCTGTTGTCCAGAATGAGAGTAGTGCAGTGGCATGATCATAGCTCGCTGCAGCCTCGACCTACTGGGTTCAAGTGATCCTCCCACCTCAACCTCTTGAATAGGTGAGAATACAAGCACATGCCACCACCCCTGACTAATTTTTAAAATTCTTCATAAAGGTGGGGTCTTGCTTTGTTGCCCAGGCTGGTATTGAACTCCTGGCTTCCAGCGATTCTCCTGTCTCAGCTGCCCAAAAATGCAGGGATTACAGGTGTAAGCTACAGCACCCAGCCTTTTAACTGTTTTTATTGTCATACATAGAGAATATTATACAACTTGAATATATTAAAAATTGAAATTTGCAAATAAATAGCTAAAAGAGCAGCCATTGTAAGAGAACGCTTAAATTACAATGACTGGATTTTAGTTGGAAAGGTGAAATATGTCTGAGTTGTAGTATTCCTGTAACATGAAAATATATTGGCTCTTTTAGTTTCTTTCTTAAAACTAAGCAGTTTTTGTCATGAGACTATTGTTTATGGTCCCATCTGTATTGCTTTGTGACTCACATTCAAGTTGCTGAGATTAAAAAGGAGTAAATATATTGCTTTCCTTGCAAACTGACCTCCAAATTGAACATGGCCACAAGTTCAAAATAGCTTACCTTTGAAACTGTGTTATAATTCTATGTAAATATCCACAAAAGTCTTTAGCAATGTGGTTTTCTTTTGCTAAAATTCTCTTAAATGAAGGATTGCTGTTTAAGGAAAACTACTTATAATTATAGCTTGGTCTTCTGGAATAGTTCTTTCCTCTTTTCACTAAGGTAAGTAGGAACAGGTGATTTTAAGTCTATGCTGGGAGGACAGGGACAATGAGGCACCTAAGATATAAGTATATTTGAAGTTCTAGTTTTATGTTTGTTTTATATTTTAAACGATTATTTTCTTTGCTTTCAGAGTTCAATGCTCTGATCTCTGTATTAGAAAATGATTTCAGATAGAATGTGCTTATAGGTAAGGCACTTTCCTACTCAAAATAATGAGATTAACAACAGACACCATGCTCTTCGTGGACCATCTTTCCTGTCCAGCTGATGCATTATTCCTTTGCCAGTCTCCAATCCAGAAGGTATACGAGTGGAAAGTGTTTCTGGCTATCATCTAAAGAGATCAGAATTTAATGCTTACTCCAGCACAGCCAACTTCCATTCTCTAGTTTGCTTTCTCCACTTGTGTGCCCTGTCTGGTAGTGGTGAGCTCAATAATTCACCGCTTGTTATAGAGACACACATCTCAAAACCAAGGGCCCATGGAGAGAATTAAATAGCTTACTCCTTTTCACATTTAATCAGATTAATTAGGTCTCATTATAATCTCCCCAACTATCCATTTTATTTAGTGAAACTCACTTGATAATAGAAAAATGTTTTCTATAATATTTATTGTGATGCATTAAAATAAACTTTTTAAAGTAATTTTTAATGATAATGCACTAATAGGAATGCATGTTAGTATGACTCTCATTAATCTCTAACTCAGAGGGATGTGATTATTGAATAAAAATTTCTAATTTGTTTAAAGAAAATTATTTTTATTCAAAAAGAGCAAATTATAAACATTTTTCTCTCTCGTTAGTAATAATTGCATAATGTTATTTTTTCTGTAATTATAATTTCAATATTTATAAAATCAAAAATAATTAGTAGGATAGGCATCTAAAATTATTATTAGGAAGTATGTTTTTATGGTGTCTGAGGAAGAATAAATTTTTAAAAATATTTTAATTATTTTGTTTGGGGGGCAAGTTGGATCAAGAAGACTAACAGAAGATGGGTAGGAGGTGTGGCAAATCTCTTTGTGATATAACAATAAGGAAAAAGAAAAAAATAGAGAGGCAGAGAGAGAGAGAAGAAGAAAGTAAGTTAGAAAGCAGAAAAGAAAAGATAAAATGTATAATTTTGTAAGATTAATTTAAGATTAACTTTTGGGAAAGAAAATATAATTTTTTTTTTTTTTGAGATGGAGTCTCGCTCTGCTCTGTTGCCCAGGCTGGAGTGCAGTGGTGCGATCTTGGCTCACTGCAAGCTCAGCCTCCCGGGTTCACGCCATTCTCCTGCCTCAGCCTCCCGAGTAGCTGGGATTACAGGCGCCTGCCACCATGCCCGGCTAATTTTTTTTGTATTTTTAGTGGAGACAGGGTTTCACGTGTTAGCCAGGATGGTCTGGATTTCCTGACCTCGTGATCCGCCTGCCTCGGCCTCCCAAAGTGCTGGGATTACAGACGTGAGCTACCACGCCAGTCCGAAAATACAAATTTTTAAAAGAAAGCAAGAGATTAGAAATGTAAAATATACCTTATATAATTTTTAAAATATCTGATATTTCCAATAAGAATATAAAAGTTATATATAAAATACATATTACATAGCAGAAAAATATTTTAAGATGTATTTTATTGAGAAGACATAATGATAGCATTATTACAATTATTCCTTTAGGAAGCTTAATGTATATATACATATATGTATATATTTCTAAAAATATTGAACACAACTTTTTTGCCTTAATATTTTAGTTTCTCTATCAGGTATTCAAAGATCTACACTTTTCCCACGTCTTCAAGAAGATGTATTTTTCCTTCATTGTGCCATGTTATTTTTTGCCATTGGAACTTTGCCATTTCTTTTCTTCTGTATACTCATCTTTGAATGGGAATATGAATGCAAACATGTTCATACCGAAATCTGTCTGAACATTCTATTTCAAGATTTTCAACATGAATAATGTAAGATTTCACTTTACTCTGCCCCTGTGGCAATCAATAAGCATCTCTTATTAGAGTTCTAATTCTGAGAATCTCGAGTTTCTATTAAATCTACTATGCCTCTATTAAATTAAATGGTAACTTCTTTTACACTCCTTCCAGGTTCTTGACACTTGAAATTTATAGAATACTCAGAACTCTGCAGTCCTGAGAATGCTCTATTATCACAGTTTTTACTGCCGTTGTCTCAATTTTCAGAATATATTTTTTTAACACTATACTCTCCAAGAGGGAGATTTATGATTCATGATTTGTGTCCTTACCAAAAAGATCCCCTCATTAGTTTTAGATTCAGGGTAAATGCAGGAGGTGAAAGATTGATAGGAACTGTGTAAGGGGAAAAACATTTCATCGCAAAGCCCAAGTGTAAAACATTTCAGTTGGTATAAAACTTATGTTTTCATTCTAGGAAATTAGAATTAAAATCTTGCTGAGTTAACGAGCTTTATCTCAACTTTCAGGTGGGCAAGTTCAATAGTAATAAAATACTGATGGCTCATGGTTGATTCTTTTTATTAGATTTCATGTTTTACCTTACGGTAAACTCTTGATTGATTTTGGAAATTGATAGATTATCCATATTTTCACAATGTTAATGATAGCTTGGGTGGGTCTACCATTTACATTTAAAATTATACATGATTGCCATTTTATTGGTAAATTCAATGTTAATTAAAAAATCAGTTTCAGGCTAAAGTTGTTTTTAAATGTAAAAAATAAATATTACTTTATTATGCTTTGTGTGGGGATTATTGCAATTTAAATTATTCATTAAATAGAATAGTAATAATGTTTTGTCATTGGGCATGTTCATGTCTACAAGGAGGAAGGTAGGCATGGTAGATAAATTTTATTTCCTTTAAATTTTCATAGCACTTTAAAATTCACAAAGTACATTTATGGACATTGACAAATTCTGTCCTTGAAACAACATAATATTATTTTCATTCCTATTTTACAAATGGGAAAATTGACATTCTCAGTGAAGCACTGCCTTATCCAGTGTTGGACAGCAAGGGAAAGAATTGTAAATCAGAGTAGTTTATTCCCATTGAATAGTTTTGCAGTGCCTATTTGTCCTGTAATGTCCCAGACATTATGTTAAGTCTTGAGGAAAGAAATAAATCACATGTCATCCTTCAACTTCCCATTCTTTGTTTCTCTTTCTTCTTTAATGGCAAAGGCAGCTCTGTGCCATGAGGGACAACAGTGCCTGGGGGCCTCAGCTGGCTACAGGCTTTCACTTTGGTATGAGGACAATGCCACTCTGCCTCTCTGCCTCTGAGCCATCAGATGTCCCTGTCTGCCCAGGATATATTGGTTGTTGTGATATTGAAACATTTCATCTCTGCTTCTGTGTGATATCCCTTTCAAATTCATATGCTTGGCTTGAGCCAAAAGCTTTCAATTGAAATTAAATTATGAAACCAGGCAGATCCAATTCAACTGGTGGGTCATGAGCTAGTCATCTAGCCCAAAGTTTTGACTCCTTGTTCTGTTACCAGCAGCACCTAATACAATGATTTCTATGAAGTTGCATTCACTGAATGAGCAAAGGGATAGATAGATCAGAATGTTCACTTGCAAGATAAGCCGAGGTAATAGTTACCTTTTTGTTCTGGATGGAATATGGAAGCAGTGGCTTCTTTTTTCACAGATAGCGTTACTTCTTCTGGAATACTATGAGCTTAAGCCCTATGGTTTTATGATTCTTCAAAACAATCTGTATTTGAAATATTATGAAAATACTATCTACTTGAGGGAAATAGTTCAATCAGTATGTATATTACATTGAATATTAGAATTGATATTAGTTTTCTTTAATTATCAAGTATGATATAAGAGAACTTTACAACATCCATATACAGATAATCATTGGATATTGCCAAGCAGGTTGGTACTCTGGCCTGTAGATGCTAACCTATAGTTAGCCCTCTTTCCTAAGTGAGAACTTAAGCCAGTATACATTAAATGACTGGAATTAGTTCAAACTGAGTAGCTCAGTGCAGATAAGAACTACATTCCTTTCTCAATTAGTTCAGAACTTGTACACCATTTTAATGTATGTGGATTTGAAAACAATGCTTTTTTTTCTTTTCTGAAGGACTTATAAAAGCAGTTTGGAGTGAGTCAAAAGTAGATTATAAGGAAGATGAAGTAGATGCACTTTTCCTTATTTCACCCACTAAGTACAACTTAAAAACATGTTATGTTAATATAAGTTACATTTATATACGTAAAACATAAAAACCTGAAAGGTGGAGAAAAGATGGCAGGAAGGCAGACTGGCTAGGAACCATGGAACTCAAATAATTAACAGTGCAGTGATATACTTAGGTTTTATTTTTTTCTCACGTATCCTAAATTGTGTTCTGGAGAAGGTGATAACCTGAAAGCACCAAATAGGTTCAGACAAAAGCAAAAAGGAAAACCTCCCAAAAACCTATTATTTCCATCCAAATACCAGGAAAAGTGCAGCTGAGCATGACAGAAAACCTTTAGGCCCTACTTGCAGTTCTGCAGTCAAACACCAAGAAAAAAACTCTGGTCACACCCACCCAGACCAGCAGAGTGCAAATGAGGAGCCTCTCTTGCTGCACAGTTACTAGCTACTCCAAACACATCAAAATTTGTGAGACACAGATAAAATGGTTATTAGAGGGAAATGTAAAGCACTAAATACATACATTTGAAGAGAGGAAAACCTCTCAAATTAATAATGCAAGCTCCTTTCTAATAACTAAAAAAAATGAAGTGCAAAATTAATGCTATGCAACAGAATGAAGGAAATAATATATGATCAGAATAAATAAAATTGAGAACAAAGGAAAATCTATAGAGGCAACCATGTCTGTTCTTTGAAAAATCAATAAAATAAGCCTTTAGACAGTCTGACAAAAACAGAGACAGGCACAATTTATCAATATCATGAATGAAATAAAGAATATCACTAAAGACTCTATAGATATCAAAAGGATAATAAGATAATATTACAAACAACTCTATACACATAAAATAGACAACTTAGATGAAATACACCTATTTCTACCAAAAAAAACACCAACTACCAAAATTCACTCAATATGAAATAGATAATTTGAATAGCCCTATAACTAGTAAGGAAATTGAGCTGGAAATCAAGACTGCTGCCTGGCCAGTTCAAAACCCTCATTCCTCTGAGTCAACAGGCAAATAAGAGAGTTACTGTGTGGTTGTGGTGTTTTATCCGATTACCAAGGGGAAATTGGACTGTTAGTCCACAATGGAAATAAGGAAGAGCATGCCTAAAATACAGGAGATAACTTAGGGCATCTCTTAGTATCACCATTCCCTATGATTAATGTCAACAGTAAACTACAACAATCTGATTCAAGCAAGACTACTAACAGCCCAAACCCTTCAGTAATGAAATTTTAGCTTATTCCACCAAGTAAAGAATGCCCACTTTGCTGCGGGCAAAGAGAATGCAGAATGGATTAGAAGAAGGTAGTCATAAATACTAGCTATGACCCATAATCACTTACAGAAATGATAGGACTATAACTGTCATGAATATTTCTTATTTTGTTACAAAAACATTTCCGTGTGTGTGTGTATATATATATATATATATCTCAAATATCTTTGTTTTCTTATCTTATAACCTTATTATAGAACATAACATGTATTGACTTCATATCATAGCATTTAAGTAATGTTAACTTTGTGTTGTAGTATTTTAGTTACAGGATATTAAGGAGATAAGTGAAGATCACTCAAGGTCTTTGCATCCTTTTCCTCGGCAAGAGTTAGTGCATTTGTGGTTGTATGCTGGGTACTTGTATCATGAAAACAAGAAATATGACTTTGTTATTGTCTTTGCTTGAAGATTTAGTATGGATTAAAGAAATGTGTGACAAGTTTACAAGGTTTGGACTTTTGATGTTTAATTTTATATTTAAATAAACTAGGTATACATAAAGGTTAGGACATGGTATCCAGCTATTTGGTCAAATGCTAGTCTGGATATTGCTTTGAAGTTATTTTTGAGATGAGATAACCGTTTAAATCAGCAGAGTTTGAGTAAAGGAGGTTAACTTCCTTAATTTAGATAGGCTTTATCCAACCACTTGAAGCCTTAAAAAGAAAAGGCTGGCTCCCCTGAGGGAGAGAGAAATCTGCCTACAGCCTGTCTTGACACTCTAGGTGCAAAATACGGTTTTCCTTGGTCAGCCTGCCAACTTACCCTGCAGATTCTGTACTTACTAGCTTTCATGGTCATATGAGGCAATTTCTTCACACAAATTTCTCTCTCCCATCTCTCTCTCCATTATATTTATGTATATTAGTAATGAATATTTGAACACAATACCATTTACAATTTCTCAAAATTGAATGAAATATCTAGTAAAACATATGCAGTGTTTTTATATTAAAACTATAGAACTTTATGAAATAAATTAATAAAAACCTAAATAAATGAAGAAACACACTTTTTTCATAGAGTGGAATATTCAGCATGGTAATTATGCCAATTCTGTCTACATTGGCATACATTTAACCTAATTCTTACAAAAAATTTGAGATACAGGTTTGATAAAATTCCTATCAAATTTTAGACAATAATATTCTAACATGTATATGGAAAGGCAATGGAACTAACACAGCTGAAACAATTTTGTAAAATAATAAAGTGGAAGATAGCATTCTACTAACTTCGTCTAATTTTCTAGTCACGATAATCAAGACAGTGCTGTTTTGGCTGAAGGATAGACATATAGTTCAATAAAACAGAACAGAGAACTCAGACAGTTCCATGCAAATTTCCAACTGCTTTTTGACAAAAGTGCAAAAGCAATTCAATGTAGGAAAGATAGCCTTTTTAATAAATTTTGCTGGAGCAATTGAACATCCATATATAATAAAATGAATTTCAACAGAAGTCTCAAAAGTTAGTAAAACATTAACTCAAACTGGATCATGGACTAAAATGTAAAATTATAAAACTTTTAGAATAAAAACTTAGAAAACATCCTTTAGGCAATAGAGCAAAGCAAAGTGTTCTTAGACTTGATATCAAAAGTATAATTTATAAAAGGAAAAATTGATAATTGGGCTTCATCAAGATTAAAAGTTTTGCTGTACAAACGATACTGTTAAAAGGATGAAAGAATTTGAAGACTGGGAGAAAATATTTGCAAACCACACATACAATAAGGGGCTAACATCTAGAATATAATTTTCAATGTGCAACTTTAAAAAAGAAAAAAAAAACAATTAGAAAATGGGGCAAAAATACAGAAATAGGTAATTTGCCAAAGAAGTCATAAGCAATTAAGCACATGAAAATACATTAAATGTCATTAGCCATTAAGGAAATGCAAGTGAAAACCATAAGGAGGCATCGCTTCACACCTATCAGAATGGATACAATAAGTAACAATTATAACAGCAAACACTGGGAAGGATTCAGAGAAATTTACTCACAGTACATTGCTGGTGGGAATGTAAAATTGCATTACCAACTTGGAAAACACTTTGAACAGTTTGTTGCCAAATTAAACATACAACTATCATATGATACATTACAGCACTCCTGTGCACTTATCCTAGAGAAATAAAAATTTATGTTAATGCAAAAGCCTGTTCACAAATGTTTGTTTATGGTAGCTTTATACATAATAGCCAAAATCTAGAAACCACACAGATGTCCTTCAAAAGGTACATGTTTTAAGAACTTATGATACCATGTAGATGTGACTATAAAAGGGCACCATGAGAGATATTTGTGTTGATGAAAATATTCTATAGATGCCTACATCAATGTCAATATTATGGTTGTAATATTGTTCTAAAATTGTGCAATATGTTGTCTTCGGTCCAAACTGGGTAAAGGGCAGATAAGATCTGTCTGCATTATTTTTTAAATTGACATTTGAAGTTACAGTTATCTCATTTAAAAAATCAGACTGGCTCTAATCAGTGTTCAGCATGTTGTGTGATATAAAAATTTCTCATAAGCTTCCTATACATGTTTTTCTAAATTGAATCAATTTTGAATGTAATACTTGAGCTTAATTTTTTAAGAATTCCCGGAAAAATCTCATCATTATTTAGATAAAATATGAAAATGTTGATGTAAATATTGGGTGAATTTCCAATTTTTAATGTGCTGATTTTTTGTTAACGAGAGTTTCCTTATGCTTCTATAAAGTATCATTGACATTGTGACATGTAGAGAGGTATATTGCTTGACAGAAAATGATGCGGGATTTTCAGAATCCTTTTCCTCTGTCTTGGATTCTCACTGTGCCTACAGGTTGTATCTCTTTGATGAGTGCATCTTGCATAACGTGTCTTCGTGTGGTATGCATGTCAACATATCACCTCTGTTGAAGGCTAAGATCATCCAGGAAGCCATTTAGATGGTGTCTGTATGTACTGAAAACAAGCACCTCATTTTGAGCAGTGGCCTCTAAAGAAAAATATCACTGTAGAATAGTAGGTTAAATTTGGATTTCAATTTCTGTGGAGAACAATAAAATATTTCAGAGGCTAATGTAGGGTAAACTCTGGATAACAAGTGGAAGTGGTAAAATGTAGTCTCAGGTCACCATACAATACAGACTGTAATAAGTATTTTAAAAAGCAGTGTGAGAATTGTCTAATCAAATTTGCTAACTATATATATTGCATTTATTAATATGAAATTGATAAAACGAATGCATTTAGAATATTCTTAGAAAATAAACAAAAATGTTATAAGTTGTTTATATAATTCTGTATTCTTTATGTGACATGCCGCATTCATGTTCTTTAACCATTCATTGTTAACCCAACTTCATATATAGTATGACCAGTGTAATTAGTGAGTTTTAATGGCGAGAATGCTGCCTTGTGAAGAACTCTAAAACTTTCTTGCCTGTTGCCATTTGGTTCAATTATAATTGAATACTTAAATTAGCTAGGGACTTGAGTGTCATATTTTATTGGAGGTTGGTCCAATTCTGAGTATTAGCATTTGGATCAAGGTCTTCTTTATGTCTGTCACATCCCTCATTGAGAAGTGTAAGAAATCTGAAAGAGTTGAAACTGTAAAAGTATATGAATTTGCTAATTAAAGGCCAATTATTGCCAGATAAAGATTTTGCCAAAGCTTGGCGAATTAGAAAATTCCACTAATTTCAGATCCCTCCCGAATTATGTGCATATTAGGGAAGCATATAATTCTATTAACCAGGTCAACACTGCTGTACATGAAAGACATCATTTTCTGATTATCTAATTTATGAAAATAGGCTTATAACGTAAGATGTGGGGAGTTCACTCTCATCTGCAAGAGGAGTAATGGCATAGCTCACTTATCTATGGGTTGACAAGTAACACCTTTAATTAAAAAAGCCACAACACATTGCATTTGCTGTGCTTTGAATGGTCATTTTAATGACCTCCATGAGAATTGATGGGTTACATCTTATTTCTATCTGTCCAAGAGTTGAGAAAGTTACCACAGGTCTCAATTCATCATGAAGGAGGGCCTATCTTTTGTATAGTCTGGAATAAATCATAAAATGGGACGAAACCAGGACCAAAAATAGATTATTCATTTCAATCAATTATATTAAAGTCAGATTATAGATTCAGATATACAGTGAAGTAATAATATTTTAGAAATCAGCTGTTAGCCTGCATACTATGTTGTAAGTAGCCATCTCATTGCAGTCCAAAAGAGATTTTTGAGAGGGACCTTCTAGGTACATGGCATTGAAGCTAATACTTATGAGAAAATTATAGAAGCTACTTGAGACATTGGATATGTATTTCAAATAAAAGTCGACACTATCGCCGGGCACGGTGGCTCATGCCTGTAATCCCAGCTCTTTGGGAGGCCAAGGTGGGCAGATCACCTGAGGTCAGGAGTTGGAGACCAGCCTGGCAAACGTGGTGAAACCGTCTCTACTAAAAAGAAAAAATTCGTTAGGTGTGGTGGCACACGCTGGTAGTCCCAGCTACTCGGGAGGTGGAGGCAGGAGAATCACTTGAACTGGCAGGTGGAGGTTGCAGTGAGCCCAGATCACTCCACTACACTCCAGCCTGGGTGACAGTGAAATTCCTTAAAAAAAAAAATAAATAAATAAGTCGACACTATCCAGTTGGTATTCTATAAGGTATTCAAGTACTAGTTTCTCTTTCCATTAACTGTACTCCCAAATTGAAAGATTTATGGTTTTGTTCATTTACAGAGTTCAATTTTCACTAACTTAGATCTGTTCACTTCCATGCTCAGAATCTGTGAAATCCTATTTAATCTAGGACTTACCTACAGAAACTCTTTCATATGTCCTTTCTTTCAAGGAATATTCCTGCAGCTGAGGATTCTAAGAAACAAATTGGTTAGCTGTTCCTAAATTTAAAATCTTGTAAACATAATTGCATGGAATGATCAATATTTTTTTACATTATTTTTCTGTTTGAAGTATATTGTGCTTTGTGAAAATCCTGGGTTTAAATGCATTCTTATTCCCCTTTTCTCCTTATGAGTATTTTGGGCTTGTTCATGGATATTAAAGGCTTTTTCTCTAATCCAATGATTCCTGGCCATCTTTTCCCATGTAAGAGTGAAGTGTTGAAATCTGTCCGGGAGCTCTGTGTGGCTGAGCAGGGCTTGTTGACTAACAAGTTACACTTTTAAAAACCAGGAGCAAATTCATTCATTTCTTTAAGAGCCACTCCATCTCCTCTCCCAAATGTTAGTATTGTGGAGGGCTTTACTTCTAGAATGGTCAGTTTCACCAGGAAAGGATCCTCCAGTCTCCTGCTTGGAGAGCAAATATCTATGATTGCTAGTGGGTGGGGAGTTACTAAAGGAAGTAAGGAGATAATCTCATAATTTTATCTGTGCAACTATTTAGTTTGTAAATTTGTGTTCATTTTTCATTCTTTTCTCAGTCATGCCCCAGCCCCTTACTAGGGTCCTAGAGGTCAGATAGGCTGGTTTCATTTAGGCAAACACCTTAGTATTCAGTTTTCCAGCTTTAAGAAATGTGCTGACATCATTCATACATATGAATTAATAAATTTTTTAATCATTTAAAGTCATATAAATTGAGTCTTGAGAGAATGAAGATATAATTTCATGTGCTTAAATTACAACCAAAATATGACATATTTCCAAATTTTTCTAAAAATTTATAATTTTACAAATGGATTTTAAGATTTATTTCCTACCTCTGCAGTTTTCAAATACATGAAAGAGATGGACTTAAATTACAAATAAAAACAATGTAATATAGAGAAAAGGAAAATCAGTGACATGGTTCTGTGAATTCAATTAAGACTGATTTAAACACATTTTAATGTAAATTCACTAAAATAGATTTTATGAAATCCAGATTATCATCAGGTAAAGATTTGGAATTTGAGTAATGTTTATAACCATGGAATTACTTTTTTAATGATCACCCTATATAAATTTGCAATCATTTATCTTCAGCTTATCACTTCCAATCTCTCTCTTTCTTTTTTCTTTCTTTAGGGTATTTTTTTTCTAACATACTGTATAATGTTCTTATTTATAATGCTTATTTTTTGCTACTCATCCTTTCCCCCATTGAAATATGTAAACACCATAAGGCTTTTCTATTTACTGCTCTGTCCCAGATGACTTATGGAGTACCTGGTTTGTAGTAGCTATTTAATATTCATTGAAAAAATAAGATTACTTCAGCAAACTTTTTTTAAAAGTAAAGTACATCCCACAAAAATTATAAAATACAATTATACAATTACAAAATAGAACAACAGAAGTTAGTCTTATAGTGTTTGTTTTTGTATTTGAAGGAGGTACAAAGGGACAATATGAGATGATTTTGGGGGGTGTTGATGAAATAATTATGTATTTTGACTATGATGGTAGTGATGTGACAATGTGTTTGTCAAGATTTATGGAACTATACACACAGAAAAAGTGAATTTTACTATGTCTAAGTTTAAAAAAAATAAATTAAAAAGCAGGTCCGTTTTCAATGAAAGCGTTCTGCAAATCAATGTATTAATGCTTCTGTGACGGAATAAAATATACAGATTTAGTCTCTGCCCTCAGCTCCTGTTACAGAGCTTCTAAAACCCTTATAACTTCCTGAATAATAGGAGTAATGGGAAAATCTTTTGTTATAATACTTGGTCTTCGTCCCAGGTTCCTAACACAAGAGCTTCAAAAACCTTTGGAATTTACTAAGTGATACGGGTGAAAGGAACATCTTTTGCTGTTCATAATAAGCTTTCTTTAACCACATCCAAGGTTATGCTAATAAGATGACTTTTGGAGAATGGGCATTGATTGACAGAGAAAGCAACCATGGTATCACAGGGTTGGAACTTTCAGCACCATCCTTCAATCTCCAGGGAAGGAGAGGGGCTACAGATTGAGTTCAGTCACAAAGTGCCAATGATTTACTCATCCATGCCTATTTGGTGAAAACTTCATAAAACCTCTAAACAATGAGGTTCACAGAGCTTCTGGGTTGGTGAACAATGGAGGTGTTGGGAGGGTAGCACACCTTGAAAAACCATGGAAGCTCCACACCCCATAATCCACACCTTGCCCCATGCATCACTTATTTTTCATTTTTTTCTGAGTTGTATCCTCTATAATAAACCAGTAATAAGAAAGTATTTCCCTGAATCGTGAGTCATTACAGCAAAGTATAAGATCTAAGAAGAGGGTTGTGGGAACCCCTAATTTACAGGTGGTTAGAGTGCAAGTGACTACCTGGGACTTGTGATTAGTGTCTGAAGTGTGGGGAAATGTTTTGTGATTAGTGTCTGAAGTGTGGGGAAATGTTGTGAGGCTGAGCCCTTAACTTGTGATGTCCGTGCTAAAACTCTAGGTAATTAGTGTCAGACATGAATTTTAGGACACTCTATTGGTGTCCAGAGAGTTGGAGAATTGGTTGGTGTGGGAAAAAAAATATCCCACACATTTGGTGTCAGAAGTGTTGTGTGAATAAAAAGAAAAATAAAGTTTTCTTTTTACCTCAAATAATATTCTATGGAGATAAGTTAAAAGAAGGAGTGAAAGCATGCATCTTACTGCTAGTCCCACAAAGTGAGAGAGAAATTGGACATCCCAGAATATGTTTAGGTAAATCATTTTTCATTACCTAATACAAAAGATTTCCTTCTCCTTTTTCTATGAAGGCGAGAGCACGGGAAGTTTGTAGCATGGTATTTTTTGACACCTTGCCTTGCAACAATACTTAAATAATTCTTATTAATCACATTGCTGGTTTCTCTCAACAAATTGAAAGAAATCCTTGGCCTGAGCCTGACTTTCTGTGCATGGATTTGTGGAAGTGCGCAAGGCTGAAATCATAACAAGGAAGAATCCTTGCTGTGTTATGTGAAGGTTAATGCTGAAACTGTAGTTTCAAACTGGTTTTGCTTTTGATGTATTTTTAAACCTGAAATACTTTTAGAAAATGAAGAGAAGCAGTAAGTAGGAATAAAAAAGGGAGAAAGTATAATTGAGACTAGATTTTGCATATGTACACAGGAGTGGTATGTTAGAAATTAGATACAATATTTTTCTTTTAAATGATGTTGACACAAAACTTTCTTATATCTATCTTATGAATGTTATCAGAAAACAGACTTCAAGAGTCTTCAGCCTTTGAAATAGCAGCTAATGTGGATAAGCACCTTTAAGTGAAAGCATTATCTAAAAAGAGGTGGAACTTGTAATACTAATATTTTAATAAAAATAGCTCAGGAAAAGTACTATTTACCTTTTAACCAGATCAGAGAAAAATTTTAATACGGAAAAATATAATGAATTTTGATGTGTTCTGCTTGCCACTTAAAGTTCTAAGCTATTTTTATTATTTGGAAATTACTCAAATGCAGAATTGACAAATATGAAATGCAGTAACCTTGGTCCAGAATATGTACATTATATGTGAGAGTGAGCAATTCCTGAGTTCAGGTCCTTACATAACTGACTATTCAATATGTTCATAGGCTTATTGGGAATGATGAACACATTGGACTCCTATATGCAAAGCATTATCACAGAGATTTGGTTACAGATTAATATGAACAGGACATTTAAT